>NC_000006.12:159464729-159616244 GCF_000001405.40 Homo sapiens | reverse complement strand
GGAAGGTAGTAACTCCACAGCCCCACTGGGATCAGAGGCTCACAGCTCTGACAGCTTGAAGAGATTGCTGTAATTATAAGAATGGAAATAGTACTGATTATCAAGAGCTCGTTAGTGCATAGTACGGAGATGATATCATCTTTTGAAAAGTCTTAAGAGGCTGCAATCTGGCTTTCATTTGCAAATTTCTGTTCCCACCCTTAGTTTTTCTTTGTTCATATTTTGAGAGGATAAACAAGCACTTTTTTTTGCATTGAAATATGAACTATTCCCAAGAGAAGATGCTCCTCTAGGGGAAATGCACTGGCCCTACCTGGGCCGATGGAGAATGACATTGAATGAGAAGTTGGCTGCTGCCATCAGTGGAGATGATGCCAGAAGAACGAAAAGACCTGGACCTTGCTTCTATCCACCCAGCTACCCATCCTCCTTCCTCATTCTTATTTCCCCAATATTTTTCCCCCTCTGGAAATAGGGGAGGCCTCTGATGTGCCCTCAGTCATACTTCTCTATTTCTCTAGTCTTCTTATTTTAAAATTAGTATACTAATATTTATAAAGCTGTCATGAATACTTATAATTAATATCAAATTTATTAATCAATAAACATGATATAATTAATTATATTAATTTATAAATAATAACTTATAAACATGCTAATATACATAAAGACATAATGAATGTATGTTTTTTATTTGTATAAATTTAAGGGGTATAAGTGTAGTTTTGTTTCATGGATATATTGTATAGTGTTGAAGTCTGGGCTTTTAGTAAAACCATCACCTGTGTTATGTACATTGTATGCATTAAGAAATTTGTCATCCTTCACCTCTTCCTACCCTTCTGAGTCTCCAATGTCAATTATTTCACACTCTATGTCCATGTGTTCACATTATTTAGCTCCCACTTATAAGTGAGAGCATGCGATATTTGACTTTCTGTTTGAGTTATTTCACTTAAGATAACAGCCTCTAGTTCCATCTATGTTGCTGCAAAAGACACAATTTTATTCTTTTTTATGGCTGACTAGTATTTCATGGTGTATATATACCACATTTTCCTCATCCAATCATCTGTTGATGGATATTTAGGTTGATTCTACATCTTTACTGCTGTGAATAGTGCTGTGTTAAACATATGAGTGCAGGTATCTTTTTGATAAAATGATTACTTTTCCTTTGGATAGTGATATGGTTTGGCTGTGTCCCCACCCAAATCTCATCTTGAATTGTAGCTCCCATTATTCCCACATGTTGTGGGAGGGACCTGGTGGGAGGTAATTGAATCATGGGGGTGAGTCTCTGCTGTGCTGTTCTTGTGATAGTGAATAAGTCTCATGAGATCTGATGGTTTTATAAAGGGGAGTTTCCCTGCACAAGTTCTCTCTTGTCTGCCACCATGTAAGATGTGCCTTTCACCTTCCACCATGATTGTGAGGCCTCCCCAGCCAAGTAGAACTGTGAGTCCATTAGACCTCTTTTTCTTTATAAGTTATCCAGTCTTGGGTATGTCTTTAGCAGCAGTGTGAGAACAGATTAATACAGATAGATACCCAGTAGTGGGGTTGCTGGATCAAATGGTAGTTTTATTTTTAGTTATGTATTTAATTATATTTATAAATTATCATAGATATTTATAAAGATATGTGAAGGAATATTTAACATTTTGTGACATTCAACACACATGCTTATTTGCTTTCATAGCTCTATTCTAGCACTAATCCACAGAATGGAAATATCAATAGAAAAAAGCAATTAACAACGTTAGCTGTGGAAGCATTTCATTTAGTAAAATCAAGAAATAAAATATATTTTCCTAACTTTGATGTGATAAAATGGCAATCCTTTCATTTCTTTAATTTTATTTCCTGTGCTCTATTTTCCCTTCGACCATCCACAACACTTTGTGAAACAGTGTCTGTGTGCTGGGGGCCTGGGGCCCGTGAGAAACAGCCTGTCTTGCTACTTTTCCATCTCCGTTTCCTTTTTGCCTTATGAGCCAACTGCTAGGCTGAACAGTTGGAGAAGGAACTTCATTATGGTATTGGAAAGACTTTCTTGACAAAATTCATTTTCAGACCCAGGAAGAAAGGATCTAGGACGTCCTTTCTGTGACTTATAGGGCAATGAGGCCTTTTGACAGCTCTTCTGGGTCCAGTGGAACAAGTGAGTGCATGGATGTCTGGAAATTTTACATCAACTCCTATCCTCATTCTAGAGTCTCTGGCTTCCCCACTGGGGCATGATGATTAAATATATGATCACTGAGTGAAAGACAAAAGGAAGGAAAACAAATGATTTCATAAAATGGGAGAATAAAGACAAGATGGAATATTTACACTTCGATAATTTTCCCCCTTGAACTTTCACCAAAACAAGTTTCCTTAGTGCCTATGTGTTGATAATTCTATGTAATGACTTAAGAAAGTACATGACTAGCCTCTAGCTAAATGCAGATATCTGCACTATGCTCCCTGTAGTAGGGGCTGGGATATTTGTGCCTACTCCTGCATGGAGAAACTATACTCACAGAGGGTGGATTTAGCAGGACTCAAGGATGTCATCTTTCCACACTCATCCTTTACGATAAGAAGAACATGAACAACCTTAAACACAGGTAGAAATTGGTGATTGGCTGTGGTTTGGGAAAGGGGCCTCCAGAGGCCTTCCGTTTGTCCATAGCCTCTGCCTTCCAGCCGCTGTCACCCAGGCAGTGGGGGTCCATGGAGCCTCCATCCTTTGGTTTGTCCTGTGCTCTTCTGTATCAGTGCTTCTCTCAGCCCACCCTGTGTGCATGTTATTGTTGCTTTGTGTGTGGTGAGTGTCTGCTAAAGTCAAACAGAAATGTTTACAGAATTAAGTGGGGTTGGGTCACATAGAAAATATTGAAGAGAAACTTATACATTGGCAAAAAGGAAAATAAAGTGAGAAATATTGATTCTGTTGGAAAGAAATCGTATAGGATCTTCTGCGTTGTGGCATAGTTTTAGAAACTGGCTCCTAAGCCCAAGTCCTGATGGTGTTTCTGAGCAGCTCAGGGCATTTTCCCAATGTAGTGGATGTAGTTTGGCTCCATGTCCCCACCCAAATATCATGTCGAGTTGTGACCGTTAGTGTTGGAGGTGGGACCTGGTGGGAGGTTATTGGATCATGGGGATGGTTTCTAATGGCTTAGCACCATCCTCCTAGACTTGCTTGTTTAGAAGTGTATAGCACCCACCCCCCATCTCCTGGCCATGTGAAGGCCATGCCTGCTTCCTCTTCACCTTCAGCCTTATTTGTAAGTTTCCTGAAGCCTCCCCATCCATGCTTCCTGTACAGCCTGTGGAACTGTGAGTCAGTTAAACCTCTTTTCTTTATAAACTACCCAGTCTCAGGTAGCTCTTTATAACAATGTGAGAAGGGACGAATACATTATCCAACACCTGTCCCCAGTTCCGCTACCTGTGGGAAGAAGCAGTGGTGAAGCTCAGCACTCAGGGTGAGTGAGTGGTGAGGCACGCGATGTATATGTCTGCCCTGCTGCTGGGGCGCCCATCTTTTTTTGTCTTCTGGCTTTCCGTATTACCCACTGGGACACTGGGCTTTTGGTGGAAGTGCAATCAGAACTTTCTAAACAGTCCAGATTTTAAATATTCAGCATAAATATTCCCCAAGACACAGGAAAATGTGTTAGACCAAGGGTTCTAGTTTTGGACTTGAGAAACAGTTACAGAACACGTAGGGCTGGGTGTGGTGGCTCACGCCTCTAATCCCAGCACTTAGGGAGGCTGAGGTGGGCGGATCACAAGGTCAGGAGATCGATACCATCCTGGCCTACGTGGTGAAACCCCATCTCTACTAAAAATACAAAAATTAGCCAGATGCGGTGGCATGTGCCTGTAGTCCCAGCTACTCGGGAGGCTGAGGCAGGAGAATTGATGAACCTGGAAGGTGGAGGTTGCAGTGAGCCAAGATTGTGCCAGTGCACTCCAGCCTGGGTGACAGAGCAAGACTCTGTCTCAAAACAAAACAAAACAAAAAAACAAATAAACCACATAGTGGCATCCCATTGGCCCGAAATGACGCATCCCTTGGGATTCGGAGCTCAGCTTTCTGCTTCGCCTTATTAAGGAGCTAGAGCTGAAGAACGGCTTGTTGGGGCAACTTACAGGAGGATTCACATTTTTAACAGATTAGTCGGGTTCTCAACTCAGAAGTAACCTAGTGTTTTCATGTTTTCAGTGGTGGGCCAGGTGATCAGAAATCCAAATGTGTGTGCATTTGTTGCCATTCCCTTTGTTAGAATGATGAATTGAGGGACTTTGAGTATTAGATGTGACTTAAACATGAGTCAGATACGTAGAAACTTTGTTCATGTTATTTTCTGTATGTCAGTAATCTTTCTTAAATTTCATATTTGTAGCTTGGTGTTAAACATGAAAATCTCAAAAAATATATAATTAATTGAAGCTATAGTGGAAATTTGACACTGTGAGCCTGGTAGCAGTCTCTCAATAGAAGCAGCCTTACACGTCAATCTGGACTTCCATGACTAAATTCAGGAAAGAAATAGCTCTAAGAGTGAGGGATGGTTATAGTAGGTCTTGCATGCTGTTTAAAAACAATAAAGGCCAGGCACAGTGGCTCACACCTGTAATCCCAGCACTTTGGGAGGCCGAGGGAGGTGGATCACGAGGTCAGGAGATCGATACCATCCTGGCCTACGTGGTGAAACCCCGTCTCTACTAAAAAATACAAAAAATTAGCTGAGTGCGGTGGCACATGCCTGTAATCCCAGCTACTCAGGAGGCTAAGGCAAGAGAATAGCTTGAACCCAGGAGGCGGAGGTTGCAGTGAGCCGAGATCATGCCACTGCACTCCAGCCTGGGGGACAGAGTGAGACTGTGTCTCAAAAACAACAACAGTTTTTGTGGGAGTGTATTCAGGTGTCCAAATATTATCTGTACCTAAGCAGTGGTTTTTGAATGTTTCGTTCATGGATTTTTTTCTTTAAACGAAACATTACTCTAAAGGCTAATATTAAATCAGATGAAGACAGAGCTGCTTTAGTTGAGGCCTGGGTTGGGGGCTGAGCCCTCATTCTTGGCTTTTCCTCCTTGAGGCAGCCCACGAACACTTCTGCAGAACTGCCAGGCCTCTTGAGGAGTGGCTGGAATGCCATCTGTTTGTGGGAGACCAGAACATGCAGCCCAGAACATGAAGGTTTGTTGAACTAAAGACAAGAGAAAGCAGATGCAGGAGAGCTCTCTGCCCCACCTCGATTTGCCTAAAGTGGGACATAGGTTTGCAAAGACAAAAGGTGTCCTGCCGCGCTTCTACCAGAGAGAGTGAAGGTTAACCACTGAACACAACTTTAGACCTTTGTTGTCTGGAGATGGTACCAGAAGAATCTATAGGAGCAAGCTTTGCTAACTAGCCTTCGTCTGCCATTTATTTGCCTTTTACTAGTTGCTGCCCCTAGCAACTTTTCCTTTGTTTTGTCCTTTTTTTTTTGTTTTGTCACTTCTCTAAAAATTAACTGTTCTTTGTTGAAGACTCTATATAAGCTGAAATCAAGGCTACCTCTTGGAGAATTACTCATTCTCTGGGTGTCTTATATGTCATGTATATACAAGACATACATGTTCATAAGCTTCTGTTTGTTTTTCTCTTGTTAATCTGTCTTTAGTTCTAAGGAGTCCATTCCAACTAAGAACCTATGGGGGTTGAAGAAAAAATATTCTTCCCCTACACATCTAAAGGAGTGACTCTTTGAGATCTCCTGGCACACACTAAATCGACTGCTACTCGACCATTCGAGTGTCCCTTGAATGTGGTGTTGGTTCATGGAATCTCTGCTATAATTCATCCAAAGAAACTTTGTACTTGGCCATAAATAATACTGTGCCATTTTTGAGTCAGGGAAGACTCTCATTCAACCTAGGTGGGTGTTCAAAGTAAACCATCTCTCAAAGCCAACACATGTAGAAAAATAAAGTTTTACCCTAATAGGCTTTTCTGTTTCCAATGAAGAATGAAACCTGGAAGATGGTGGGAAGGTAGCTGGCACCTCTGAGAGTCAATGTGCAGGACAAATGAAGCATCTGAATCTCACATCCTGGTTTATTCACTGGGGCATGAGCTTGAGGGTAGATAATACATATTTTCCTCTCTTTGTAAAAGGCCTGGACTGGGCCAGATGACACTTGGAAGCTGACCTCAGAAGGCTCTGTTTGGAAGGCTGTTGTGTGTCATATGATGAAAGCTGTGGGGATGGTGACCAGGCCAATGGTTCCCAGTGCCAAGCTTGGTCTCCACAGCTTCAACTTCATTCCAAAATAATTGAAAACATGTGGTAAAATATGCATTTTCTTAAGGTTCAGAATTTCCTTGGGATGTACTTTCCATACTATTTTCGTTTAAAATGCTGTGGCCAAAAAAAGTTTGTATGTCAGTATTTAAGTGTTTTCAAACAAATCTTTTAAACATAAAAATTCTGAAGGATGAACACAGGGCCGAATCATAGTTCTGAGAATTGAGGCAGGTGAGCAGCCTAAAGGAAATGGCTTAAAGCAATATTTCTCAAAGCAAAATGATGAGTTTTGTCATTACAGTTTATAATTTAGTCCAAATGTCTTATACGCCTGCTCTCTTAAAAATAATTCTTACATCTGGACATTATGTTTGTGACATCCAACAAAGAGGAAAAAAAGCATCTGCCCATATTTATCCTGCACAAGTTTCCATCTGCAGCAGAAATAACAGCGCCAAATGTTCATAGGGACCAAGCAGATAAAGAATGTGAGGGAACCCAGCTGGGGGTGACTGTGACCACCAGGAGAGCAAGTGCCCATTTAAAGAGAGTTGCCATTTAGAAAGACAAATCCTGTGTTGCCAGGGGTTCTGATTTTTCAAGATACGCTGGAAATTAACATTTTAATGTAAAATATCCTGACTTTTAAAGTTTTTGAAATTAAAGATAGAAGTACAATGTATCGTCCAATAAATACCCTTGAAGGACAGACTTGGCCTGGGGCTATGAGTTTGCAATCTCTGGTCTGCAAGGTGTGCTGCTGGTCTGAAAAGTTAGGTGGCAGCAGAGCCCCACTGGCCTTGCAAAAGGATGGGACAAGTACTCATCAAGATACATTGGGGTTTCAGGGTTGGGGAGTAAGGTTTGTACTATCTCTGTTTCCAGCAGTTTAGTGGGAAGAATGAGAGACAACTTTAAGATGAAGTCAGAGAATGCAGCAATGCACATGTGGGTAGAAGTAGGTGAGGCGAAAAGCGAGTTCCAATGAGAAGAGAAGATCTGGAGCCATGGCCACTAGAGAGCTTGCATCACATTGATGAATGGCTGAAGAGGAGCTTAGAAGAAGCATTGGCTGATGCCAACATCTGACAAATATTTACTCCTGGGTAGTGCTTTTAGCTCTCTCAAGACAGAAAGATAAATATCTGTAGTTATTAACTAATTGTCTTCAGGGCACCTTGTTACCTTTCTCTTCCTCCCCAGCCTCACTACCTCAGTAAACTCCAATTTCTTTTTTATGTTGTATCTCAACCAGTTGATCATTTAGAGTTGACTGCACTCACAGCTGAATCTCTCCCATGATTGTAAGCTCACTTCAAATAAAAGGGCCCCCACCCTGTTCCCTATACTACCTTTGGGTACTGTCTAATTAGATATGCCATGATTACAGTTAGAAGAGTGAGACCAATCAGGAAAATGAGAGAGTTTTCTTGGGCTGAATATGAAGATTCAGAAGCAAATAGGGTAAAAGGTGGGATGAGGTTCATAGGTCAAATATTCTAACTCTAGTAGGTAACTAACTGTATGGGAACTTACGGAGCTATCCTAGCCTCACCAGGCCCACTGATATGAAGTGTCACAGGCTGGGAAGAACCTGAAAAGTCCTCCCACCTCCACTGTATCCCATGTAGCTGAGACCAAGGAAAGGCAATGTCAATTGTCTTTTAGAATCAGACTCTAAAAAAGAAAAAAAAATGTCCAGAAGATTTCTAATTCTCACCAAATTGGAGTAAAACTATTGAAAAAAGGATGCTAACACTATGCTAATGGGAACATTAATCCAAAGAAAACTGGGATGGCTATAATGATATCTGACAAAGTAGATTTGAGAACAAAGTAATTAACAGAAATAAAGAAGATCATTTCATAATGATAAAGGGGTCAATTCAAGAGGTTATAACAATTATAAACACTTATGTGCCTAATAACAGAGCTTCAAAACATGTAATGCAAAAACTGATAGAACTACAAGGACAAATAGCCAGGCCACAAGCATGTTAGAGATTTCAATACCTCTTTATTAATAATGAAAAGAACAAGTTGACAGAAAAATTGTCAGAGATATAGAAGAGGACCTGAACAACACTGTTAATGAACCTGACCTAATTAGCATTTATAGAACACTCCACATAACAATAGCAGTATACACATTCTTTTCAAGTGCACACAGAGCATTTACTAAGATAGATCATATAATTAGCCATAAAAGAAGTCTCAATACGTTGAAAATAAGAATACTTATACAGTAAATGTTCTCTCATCTAATGAAATTAAATTAGATATCAGTAACAAAAAAAATTCTAGAAAATCCAGATCTTTGAAAATCAAACAACACACTTCTAAAAAACCTCATAAATCAAAAAAGAATTCAAAGGAGAAATTCAAAAGTGTTTTCAACAGAATTAAAATGAAAATGCAGCAGATAACAATTTATGACATGACACTAAAGTAGTACTTGGGAAAGTTAGGGCACTAAATTATATCAGAAAAGAAGAGAAGTCTTAAATCAATGACTTCACTTTCCAACTCAGGAAACAAACGATTTCTTAAAAAGCAAATTAATTTCAAAGTAAGTAGAAGAGAGGAAATAATAAAGAAATTAATAAAATATATACTTGAAAAACAATAGAGAATATTTATCTTTGAGAAAAATTAATAAAATTAATAAATCTTAGCCATACTGACCAGGAAAAAAAGACAGAAGACACAAATTGCCAATAGAAAAAATGAGAGATGTGATATCATTACAGATTCTACAGATATTAAAAGATAATAAAGGACTATTGTGAACAATTTTATGCCAATAAATTTGACAACTTAGATGAAATGGGCACATTCCTTGAGAGATGTAAATTACCAAAGCTCACTCAAAAAGAGATAGATGACTTAAATAGTCCTGTATGTATTAAAAACATTGAATTCGTAGCTATAAAATTTCCCACATAGAAAACTTCAAGCACAGATGGTTTCACTGATGAGTCATACCAATTATTTACAAAAAAAATTATTCCAGTTCTACCCAAATTCTTCCAGACAATTAAAGAAGAGAGTACTTCGTATGTCACACTGTGAAGCTAGCATTACCTTATAATAAATGATAAAGGATAATAAAACCAGACAAAGACATTATAAGAAAACTACAGACTAATATCATCATGAGAATAGTTACAGAAATTCTTAACAAATTTTTAGTAAATTGTATCCAACAATATATAACAAGAATGACATGTTATAGCCAACTGGAGTTTATCCTAGGAATGCAAAATTGGTTTAAAATGTAAAAATCAAACTGTATAATTCACCACATTAACAAACTAAAACAAAAACAACAAAATATCATAGCAAAAACAAAAAAAAAAACCTAAAGTCAAATCATGTTTTCATTGCAATAGACCAAGAGAAAGCATTGTCAGATTCAGTATTCATTTATGATAACATCTCTCAGTTAACTAAAAATAGAAGGAAACTCCAACCTGGTTAAAGGTGTTGATCCAAAAAACCATTTCTATTCTCATTTGCCTCGTAAACAAGTACCGCACAGAGCAGCGGATATAGTGGAATTAGTTTAAGCTTCTAGGTGAGAAATAAACTTGAATTCAAATTATGGCTTTTTTAATGCTGTGATCATAAACAAATTACGTAGCCTTTTTGGCTGGTCATGGTGGCTCATGCCTATAATCCCAACACTTTGGGAGGCCAAGGCAGGAGGATCACTTGAATCCAGGCATTCAGGACCAGCCTGGGCAACACAGTGAGATCCCATCTCTAATAATAATAATAATAATAATAATAATAATAATAATAATAATAATAAAAAGTAAATAAATAGCCTTTCTGAGCTTGAGTTTTCTTATTTGTAAAACAGATAATGAAGCCTATGTTTTGGAACTGTTTGTGGTACAAACAAGTTATCTTATGTCACTGCCTGGCACTGCTTACACACATTAAGTACCCTTCCCCTTTTTTTGTTCACCTGGTTCTGATGAGGGTGAGTTGGCAGTTTTCAGCATCTTTATTAGACACAAATGCTCACTGCAGATCTGCTTTGGGTGAGGCCTCTATGGGTTTCCTCTAATGGATTATAAAAGCATTCATCTCCTCCATTATGGAATGATCTGGTAGGGTGGAATGGGGAAGAGGTTAGGAGGCAATTAGAGGAAGATAGAACATCCCTAGTCTTCAGATGGGCTCTTTCTGGAAAACTCAGCTAGGGTTTTGGCAATAGACTCTTGTCCTGGACTTGCAGAGCAATGGGTGTTCAAGCTTAGATTTCTATCTAAGGTTACATTTCAGGGCAGAACACGTAGGATGCTAATCCATTGAGACAAGTATCTTTACAACTCAACAGTGAGGACAACTTTTAAGTTCCAAAATGCTCTGATAGAAAGCACTTTGGGAGGCTGAGGCAGGTGGATCACCTGAGGTCAGGAATTCTAGACCAGCCTGATCAACATGGTGAAACCCCGTCTCTACTAAAAGTACAAAATTAGCCAAGCATGGTGGTGCATGCCTATAATCCCAGCTACTCAGGAGGCTGAGACAAGAGAATTGCTCGAACCCAGGAGGCAAAGGTTGCAGTGAGCCAAGATCATGCCATTGCACTCTAACCTGGGTGACAAAGCTGGTCATTTATATGCAGTTAGTCCCATCCATTGCCTATAGGGCTACTATACTGTACTTAGTAATGGGGACATATTTGGATTTAGGTTTGCCAGAGGCTGGTATTTAATTTTTGCTCACTAACTGCATGCTCCTTGGTGATTCTGAGGGCAACATAGGGCTTCCAAAAGAGGTGTATTCATCACATTAAAGAAGAAGAGATAACTTGATGGCTGGGACCAGCAGGGCCCCTGCCTGCCAATAAGCACCTGTGTCAAGTACTACATTCCATGATGCACACTGGCATATTAAAAGCTCCAAGAAACCTGGCAGTGGAGACAGAAGCTGACTTCCAAGACAGAGGTTTGCGTCAACAAGACATTGACATGGCGGCTGTGAGAACCAGAGGAACATCCCCCTACACACACACACACCCACCCACAAACACACACACACCACACCATGTACACACCACCCCTATCATCCACACACACACACCACACACACGTTCACACCACACACCACATACACATACATACTATACACACCACATATGCACCACATATACATTCACACCACACACACACACTGCACACACGTTCACACCACACACCACATACACATACATACTATACACACCACACACCACACATCCACCACATATATATTCACGCCACACACACATTCACACTACACACATTTACACCTCACACACAGCCGTGACGTCAGGCCTGAGATGCCAGTAGGGAGAAGGCAAGGAGGGTGAAGAATGGTCTGGAAAGAAATGAGGATAACATGAAACAGATGAAGTTTTAAACCAGGAAGGGCTTCTCCTGTTAAGTGGCCTGCTAACCATGGGCTCCCCTGAAGCCAGAGGGCCATCGCTCACTCTTCTGGGCCCTCAAGGTAGAGTGATCTTTCCACGTTTCCTTATTTCATAGGACTGTGTAAATAGCACGAGGGAAATACTGACTCAAGAGGGTACATTTTTCAGTTTGTAGTGAAAGTGTTATTTCTCTGTCAGAATGCATGATGTCCTTCAGCCTCCTAGCCTGTCACCCCTTCTATGGGATAAAGAACTTCATAGACAAAAGGGGGTAAAGAGATTTAAACATTTTTGTGAAGACCTTTAAGTGTGCAGAGAAGAAGGGAGAAGTGAATTCCATAACATGATACCCATGATGAGGGAGAAGATAGAGCTGGTGTTTGAAATGATCAAACATTTCAAAGATTCAAATATCAGACACACAAAATAGAAGATTATGAAAAAACTCATAATGTTAAGGAGGCAAAGCAGAATTCCATCCTATTTCTATTTTTATTTGTTTAATGTTTATTTTAGGTTTGGGGGCGCATGTGAAAGTTTGTTCCATAGGTAAACACGTGTCCCGGGGGGTTGCTGTACACATTATTTCATCACCCAGGTACTAAGCCCAGTACCCAATAGTTACCTTTTCTTCTCCTCTCCTCCCTCACCCTCCCCATGCAAGCAGACCCCAATGTCTGTTGCTTTCTTCTTTGTGTTCATAAGATCTTCTCGTTTAGCTCCTGGAAATTCCATTTTATTTCCTGCTATAATTTATTGCAGTTTAGACATATGAATTAGTGGTAATTCCTGCAGGGTCTTCAAGTCTAGTAGATAGACTTTATCTCAGTTAATATTCAACATGAGGACAGCCATTGCCATGGTTTGAACGTGTCCCCAAAGTTCATGTGTTGGAAGCTCAATCCCCAACACAATTGTGTTGAGAGGCAGGACTTTTAAGAGAGGTGATTAGGAGATGAGGGCTCTGCTCTAGTGAGTGGATGAATGCTGTTCCTGAGGGAGTGGGTTCGTTATTGAGGATGGGATCCTGACATGAGGATAAATTCGGCCTCCTTCCTCTCTTGCTCTTCTACCTTCGTCCATGGGATAACACCACAAGGAGGCCCTTACCAGATGCAGGCCCTTGATCTTGGACTTCCCAGTCTCCAGAACTGTAAGAAATAAATATCTGTTCCTTTATAAATTACCCAGTTTCAGGTATTCTGTTAGAGCAGCACAAATCGGACTAAGCCGGCCACCTCTCCCTGTTTCTTGTATCTTTCACTGGGAAGTTTCCAGGGCCGACGGTGAAGGACGGGGGCTCCAGCAATCACACCGCAGCTGGAGATGGAGGCAGTCAGAATAACAGCTGGAGACCTGGTACGTCGACCTAGGGGTTAGCCTCAGATAGGAAGCCTGTTGTTACCCTCTTTCCGCCGCAGAGGTACCAGGGGACCACTCCCAGGGCGCTGCCAGCCAGGCCTGGAGGTGCCTGCCCATGCCGCGTTGCTGTGCTCTGGCAGGTCCTCACCTGGGGAGCCTCATGGAAACTCAGCGCTGAGCACCGAGAGCCAGGCGCGGGCTCCAGCAGCCAGGACCACAGACCTCCTGGACTTCGTGCCCCTTGTTCTTGCTTTTTACGTGGAGCGGGCGGTGAGGAGGGGTTGGCCTAAGGGTGGGGCTGCGAGGTGGGAGGGGAACATTTGCCAAAGTGTTTCCCGAGAGCAGTCTCCTAGCTAGAAACAGATGTTCTGGTGGCTTGCTGGCCAAAAGCATAATGTAAAAACATTAGCATATATATCCTTCAAAGCATTCTGACTTTACTTTTCAGTTCTCAGTAGCTTCTCTCATGCTTTAAAAACGGAGCGGAAACCAGCCTTTTCCTGGTGCGCATTTTGTGGGCTTCAGTCAGCTGCAGGTCCAGCGGCTTCTGCGCTGTCGGGGGCCTGCACCGCCTCCCTGCTCTTGTTTAGTCTCCTTTTTCATTTGCAGGGCAGCGATTCCCAACTGCGGGAAGGAGCTTAGATGTTTTTGGCAGTTCCCGTGGAGAAACCCTGTATAAGTTATCGCCAGGAGCTGAAGGGATTGAGTTATTTCCCAGCGGCCTCGTGACTGGCGGTGGGGTCAAAAGAGGAGTGTGGTGGAGAGTGGAGACTGGCACCCAGCGCTCCAGCCCCAGGGAGGGCAGTGGATTCCCAGGGACCCCGGGACTCAGTGGGGGATCTTACTTTACTTCTGGGGTATGAAGGTTGGCATCTTGTTCAGATGGACTCACAGATTAAAGAAAAAAATAATAATAAAGATCTGCTGGAAGGGAACTGAATCTGGTCATATTCCCTCCCGGCCTCCTTTCGGATTGTTAAGCCTGATGCTTTTGATTTAGGGACCATGAATTATGGAAAGGTAGTGATTTCAGACTTTAGAGATCATCCAATTTAACCTCATTATTTTATAGAAGAGAAATCAAGGAAGAGAGTTGTTCAATGAGTTTCCCGTCTGTTAGGGTGCAGTCCCAGCTCTCTCATCCTCTTTCTATAGCACCCAAAGGTCCCCGTGTGTTCCTTCCTGCTTCCTTCTGAACCAGACCAAAGGGTGTGTTTTCTTGTGTCTTTTGCGACCTCCATGGGTTTTGTCCACGTTGCCCTTACATCTGCCACTTGCACCCAGACCACGACCCCTCTTTCCTGGCTGTGCGTTCCTGTAATTTAGTGCACATTTCCTGCTAACAAGTACGAAACAGGTGCATAGTCAAGATGTAATATGTTTAGAGGTTACTGATTCTCCGAGGACTTCCCCTGAAAACTCTGAGTGGTTTAGAGGAAAGAATATTCACTCCACAGACGCATATGCTTTCCAGGTAATTCGATCCTTTGTCTTATTCTGACCAGCTAGAGGGTGTCATTTTGGCCCTCTCACTCTGGCCAAGGCTTCATAATCCTTTCTTCATCTCTTTTTCTCCCCTACTCATCCTCTGGCCCCTATACCATGAGGTGAATTTCTACAATTTACGAACACTTCGCTTGCAAAGTAGATTTTGATTTGTATTGGAAAAGAATTCCCCAAGGAAGGCCAGCCAGCCCCCAGTCCTCTTTCCACCCATGCTTTGCTGCTGCTGCTCCGTGGAGAATGGCTCCCTCCGATGGCTTTTGTAGCGGTGGCTAGCTGGGAGGGTCTTACTGCGTCATGGAAAAGCCAGGCTAAGGAGGTGGGGGTCTTACTGAGTGACCCCAGGCTCATGAGATTCCTCTCTCATGGATCCAGCTGTTTCATCAGGCCCTAAGCTGCTTTTTTCTTTTATATAGTAATGCTAAGCATGTCTTTTCTTTCCTAGACAGTGCTTCATCCCTGATTTCTGGGAGGTTAGCTTTGAAGAAGCAGGATAGACTTGCACCCAAAATTTGGATGTTGAGACTGATGATGCCACACACATACAAAGATACTGTAAAAAGGTTTATTACACACACTATCAGGCTTTTGGGGAGAGCAAGGAAAGCTTCCCAGGTTGGTCTGAAAATGTCTTGTGAAAGCAGGGAAAGGAGACTGGCTTGAGGTTTTTATTATGGCCATGGGTGGGGCTGGGGTGAGGGTTCCAGTGCATGGGAAGGGGCTTGCACGACTTGCGTGTCCTGCTGGTGCCAAAGAGGGAACACCCAGGCTTCCTATCAGCCTGCTCAGATGTGGGAGCTGGAGAGGGATGGGTGAGGCTTAAAAGCCCCACCAATCCACGGAGCCAGACTCTTTATTACAGCTTATTTTAGATTTATAAATATTTGTTCAAAACATGAAAAAAATTGGTGCCAGACAAGATATACCTATCCTTGACAGATAACCAAATCCAGGAGTTCAGAAGTTCTTGAGTAACAAAGCCAGCAACACAGGGTTCAATCACTTTTTCAAATACACAACATAAACCAAGGCATCTACTCACCTTAAAAAATATTCTGGCCTCATGATATTCTCTTTTCGCTTGGAAGTTTAAAGTAATGACTTTCTTGGGAAACATATGAGATGATGAAAATAGTTTTTATCATTTGTTTTAATATTATTGCCTTATTCAAAATCTCAACGGTCTCATGATGGAATTCAAATCAAAATGAAGATCTGCATGTTACTAATTTCCAAATTTACATTTTCAGTCCAGACCCTCACCTGAGGTCTAGACATTACTCCCAAGCATATTCTTCATAGTTCTGTTTGGGTGTTTAGAAGGGATCTCAAATTTAACATGTCCCAAATAGAGCTGTTGATTTGCCCTCTAAGCCTGACCTACCCCCTACTCTCCCATCTCCGTAAGTGGCATCACCATCTTCCCAGTTGCATTATCTGAAATTCTAGAAGTCACTCTCAATTGTCCTCTTTCCTTCACCCTCCACAAGTCTTGTGGGTAGAGTTATGAAACATAGTCAAGATTTAATGTGTTTAGAATCTCACCTCTTCCTTCCCTCCTAAAAGCCCCTGCCTCTGCTCCTCTGGCCCTGTTATTGGTTGAATGATGTCCCCCAAAGGCTATCTTTAAGTCCTAACTCTCAGGTGATTTTTGAATGTAATCTTATTTATAGAAATCAGACCTTTGCAGATATAATCAAGGTGAAACAAAGTTATGAGGGTGGGGCCAAATCCGATCAGACTGGTGTCTTTACAGCAAGAGGAGAAGGGACAGAGTTACACAGGAAAGATGGCCGCATGACGATGGGGCAGATCGGAGTGATGCTGTCACAGGCCAGGGACTGCCTGGGACTAATAGAAGCTAGGAAGAGGAAAGGAAGGATTGTCCCCTAGAGGATTCAGAGGGAGCATGGTCTTGCTAACACCTTGATTTTGAAGTCCAAGCCTCCAGAACAGTGAGAAAATAAGTATCTGTTGTTTCAACCCACTCAGGTAGTGGTACTTTGGTACAGCAGCTCTAGCAAAAAACACAGGCCCTACAACCACTTTTTCACACAGTAGCCAGAGGGACCTTTTCAAACCTAATGCAGAGGGTGTTCCTCCTCCTGCACCAAAACCTCTGTCAATTTTTCTCTGAACTTATGATAAAAACCAGACTCTTCACCAGCACCAACAAGGCCTCACGTACCTGTCCTGGCTATCTCTGATCTCATCCCATACTTTTCTCAGCTTTGCTCCTTATCGTCAGCATCAGTGGCCCATTGAATAAGGATGATGTGACTGGCTGCCTTGGGGTCTTTGTACTCACTGTTCCTGTGGTCCCAAAGGAATCAGCTGGAGTCACTCCCCATCCCCGCATATTACCCTGTTTCCTCCAGAGCACTTACCTTGATCTGGTAATCCTATCAGATAAATAAACTAAAAAATCCTAGTTTATTATTTGCCCCCCTCCTGCTCTGTGATAAAGTTCATGAGAGCTGAGCCTTGTTTGTGTTTAAGCCCGGACCCATTCTTAGGAAGCTATTGGGCCTTCGATTCTCCTCTCTGGACAACTGAAATAGACTGAGATTCTAGAATTCTCTCAGGTATGGGGAATAAAAACAAACACTATTTCTCTGGGAAGATATGAAATATGGAAGGATATAATAGATGCACCCCAAAAAGACCCATACTCATTTTTCTTAAGGATTTCTTATTCCAGATAGGATATTTGGCCTTTGATCCTGGTTGGCTAAAAAAAGAAGAGGTGCAAAAATGGGAAAATGCTTAAAGTTACATACACTGTGACTTTGTGTAACTTTATTACTATTTTGGGTTTTGCAAATTGAGTCAGTTGGTGATTTATGAAAAGGATTTGATTCTGTCCTTCATTTCTTATGTAGACAGTCTTCCCTGACAGAGTGACAAGATGTGATATGCCAGGCTATGGGAGTCACTGTCCCTGCTGCCTCTGGAATGATGAGGAATAAATAACCAGAACCTGTTTGCGTGGCTGCCAACAATGTGCCATGGAAATACACCTGGCCCCTCACACCCTTGCTTGGCTCTGCCGGAGTTTGTTCCCCTTGTCTATGAGGCAGAGAGAAATTGCACTCGGGCAGTGAAGGGTCTCTTGTGTCATACAGAGACTTGAACAGCATCCATGTTCCTGGGATAGGAGGGCTATTCTGCTATCCTTTGATGCAATATAAAGGCTTATTTTCATTTTATTTTATTTTATTTTGAGATGGAGTCTCACTTTGTTGCCCAGGCTGGAGTGCAGTGGTACGATCTCGGCTTACTGCAACATCTGCCTCCGGGGTCCAAGCAATTCTCCTGCCTCAGCCTCTCAAGTAGCTGGGATTACAGGTGCTCACCACCATGCCTGGCTAATTTTTGTGTTTTTAGTAGAGATGGAGTTTCACCGTGTTGGTCAGGCTGGTCTCAAACTCCTGGCCTCAAGTGATCTGCTGGCCTCAGCCTCCCGGGCTGGGATTACAGGCATGAGCCACTGAGCCCAGCCTAAAGGCTTGTTTTTAAAAAGATCCTTTTTACCAACATGCAACAATGCCTCAAGTTCTTGCAAATGGTCACCTCTTTGTGTTTGGAAGCTTTTGTCTCTAGAAGGCCCTTATTAAATGGCAAATGGGTTAGCTAAAAGAATTCCAGAAACTTTGGACACATGAACCAAAGAAGTGAGAATAAGTTAATTGTTTTCACCATAAAAGGTATTTTTCTGACTGTGGTAAAGACAAGTGAACTGTTGAAACTCCAGCTCCTTTCAGGGTCACCTGACTCTTTCTCCATGTCTCCAAGGCTGACTGTGGTTTGTGCAAGAATAAACTGCCTGAGCCTTCGCTGACATCTGAGGCCTTGACTCGTAAGATGCTGCCGTGAGCCCTAGGTCCTCCTCTCTGGGCTCTGCATCGCTGCAGAGTGAGCACGAGCTCACTGGGAAAGGGCACCTTCCCGGCGGGTTCTTCATTCTTTCCAGGGAAGGCACAGGGCCACCTTCGCTCCCAGATCCAGATCCACCAGGGACTGACTCCCGTGGTGAGCACAGCATATGCGCCACCGGTGGTGCTGGTAAACCATTAGCAGAGCAGCTTTTCAGACTTGTTTAGAAAGTGGTCATAATCTAAAGTTGGGTGGGGAGTAGATGGAGTTCCTGGGGCAGGGAGGGCAGCCTGCGTGGAACACCGGCAGGTCCCTCATGAATGGAGACCCGTGCAGTCACTCAGGGCTGCAAGATCAGAAAGGGCTTTGTGCTTGGGGCTTAAGGCTTTGTGTTTGTCATCCTGAGATTCTTAATCTTATTGGAATTTGCGTTTTATTTATTTATATTTTTGAGACGGAGTCTCCCTCTGTCACCCAGGCTAGAGTGAAGTGGTGTGATCTCGGCTCACTGCAACCTCTGCCTCCCAGGTTCAAGCAATTTTCCTGCCTCAACCTCCTGAGGAGCTGGGATTACAGGCATGCGCCACTACACCCAGCTAATTTTTGTATTTTTAGTAGAGATGGGGTTTCACCATATTGGCCAAACTGGTCTCAAACTCCTGACCTCAAATGATCTGCCTGTCACGGCCGCTGAAATTGCTGGGATTACAAGCGTGAGCCACTGTGCCTGGCTGGAATTTGCATTTTGTAAGTGAAGTCCGATGGGAGGGGTGCACCAGGTATTCCCACTGCCTCTCTGGGACTTGCTCGCAGTCGCATGCACCCAGCCTCCTGGGGTACCTGGCCCTGCGCAGCTTCCCTTTGCACTCTGCTCCAGAGCCCTGTCTTTCTCTGCCTAGGGGTGTTGGTGGGGAGGTCCATGGCCTCCTGTCACTCTCTACCCCTGTGTGCAGAGGAGTCGGGTGCAGCATGGGCCCTAAGTGCCTTGGCCTGCCCTGGGATGGTGAGCGACTTTGGGGCCTCTCACCTGCTCCTGGTCTAGGTACTGGGCACTTCCAAGAGCCAAGATTGCAATCCCTTGGGACCACCCACTCCCCAAGGTTTGGGGCTGAGGGCCCATGGGAAGCAGAGATTCCCCTTGTGCCCCCAACTGGGGCTCTGCATTTTCATTAAAGAGGTAGAGATCAGATTAGCTCTTCTACTTACTGCTTTCTCTGCTGGTTGGTCCTGGTCTCAGGCGATAAAGCTTCCCTTTAAGAAACTTTACCAACATTGTTCAGACTTCTAGCCTTTACTCACACACACAAACACACACACACACACACATATATATATATTTTTTCTGCCCTGGAATGTCTTCTTTTGGCCTCTCATGTTTTTTTAACTTCTACTTATATTTTAAGGTTTATGTCAAGACTCATCTATCTCTCCCCTAAGACTTCCAGCCCACTGTGGACCACAGAGCTGGTTCTCTGCATGGAACTTGGTGTTTCATCTTCTCTAGTGTTATTTGCAAATTAAACATAGATTTTCTGTTGTATCTTCAGTGTTCATTGTTTGGGGTTGTTATTTAACTTGTCGTATGTTTATGTTTTGTTTATATCACTCTGTTCTTGGCTCAGTCTCCAGGGTATGGTAGACACAGGCAACAATATGTATTGATTACACATTGGGTGTGTCATGGGCACATTTTGGAAAATAAGCAAAGGATTAAGGCCACACTTCCTGTAGAAGCTACTGATTGGTTGAAATCAAGTGTCTGATTTAAGTGATTTGGGGAAGAAGTAATGATACATTAGAAACTGACAATTAAAAAAGAAATCTTAAGTGGGGCGTGGTGGCTCACGCCTGTAATCCCAGCACTTTGGGAGGCTGAGGCAGTAGGTCACCTGAGGTCAGGAGTTCAAGACCAGCCTGGCCAACACGGATAAATCTTGTCTCTATTAAAAATATAAAAATTAGCCAGGTGTGGCAGCACATGCCTGTAGTCCCAGCTACTCGAGAGGCTGAGGCAGAATTGCTTGAACCTGGGAGGTGGAGGTTGCAGTGAGCCGAGATCATGCCACTGCGCTCCAGCCTGGGTGAGAGAGAGACTCTGCCTCAAAAAAAAAAAAAAAAAAAAAAAAAAGAAAAGAAAGAAATCTTTCAGTCAGAAGATCGTGATTTCTACAGCAGGGGGCTCATTTGATGTGAGCTCTGTTTTTAGGAATCACTGGGTTATTGTATCTCTGAATGATTAAACTTAACTCTCACCATGACATGAGGGTATCTCTCCTTCCAGATCCGCAAATAATGTTTTGTATACCCAAACATGAGGGTGAGTAAAATCTGGGCACTCAGGCAACAATGCCACATCATTACTCAGCTTTTGAAAGTCTGCCCAGCCTGGTGAGGGTGTATTTGGTACTTTGCCCTCCTCTCTGCCCAGTTTTCCCCTGACTGGCGATTTCCTGCTGTCTCTTGAATTCCTGTAGCTCCTACTGCAGCTTGCGCCACAAGGGGAGTCCCCAAATACTGTGAAGCACCCAGAACTCAAAGGGTTTCATTTCACTAAAGAATGTTCCTTTTCTATTTCTTCCAGTGTCTGTGGATGAACACTACACCATTTGCTCCATTTTCTGAGAATTTCTCAGTGGATGCTTTAAAAACCAAGGATGAATTCAGCATCTCTATTTTATGTGGAAGCTGTTCTCAGCATCATTTGTTTTCTTACTTGGGTGGAAAAGATAGCTGGGTAGGTGTTTTCCTCCCAGGGCCTTCTGAAGAGTTTAAAAACAGAGACTTTGGGTGTTGAATGAAAGGTCCCTATTCTTTCCTAAAATACTCACAGAATCCCATGACTAATATATAAATAAAGATTGTTGTATTAGTCACCCAACAATGAAAGAAGAAATCCTCCCACTTCTCAAATGCTTCCTTTCAGAGTAACCTCAATGACCTGACTGATTCATGGAACTAATTTGTAACAATAATAAAGATGAAGCGGGACCCCAGACAAGCTTTCAGAACTCCTCCAAAGACCCTCACTGCCTCATCCCGCTCTCCCGTTCCTCGGCCTGCAGCTGATGCCTTTGAGGAAGCCCCTGTTTGTACTGACAGTGGCCCAGAAACCTCTTCCCCTTGCTCAGACAATTGCCCATGTGGCCGCTGCCAACTTGGGGCTTCCTGGACTTCACAAACTCAGGAGGTCTGAGCTCAGTGACACCCTGCATCGCCCCTGCTCCCTGGGCTCCTGCCCTGAACCACAGCTCCCTGCTTGATGAAGAAGGGTCAGCCACCTCAAGGTTCACTTCCGGGCAGAGGCCACATCTGTTAGGAAAGAAAATAGATGAAAAGCATAGTTAGCAAGTGCCTGCTGTTGGCCAGGCACCGAGCTAGGAGGTGTCTTATTCCTGTGTCATCTTATTTCATCATGTAAATGGCCCTGTGAGGCAGAGATGGTTGTTTGAATTATACAGAAGGAGAAACACAGAGTCAGAAAGATGAAGAAACTTGCTGAAGATTGTATTGTGTTCCAGTGGTCTCCAAACTGGGGTAGGTCCACTCTAGTGAAGGTCCCTGGTTAATTCCTGCTGATTAAGCACTAACCACATGAGACTCATCCAGCTGGCCAGTTTCCAGATGAAACTGTGGTGGGTAAATTCTTTGGAAAAGAAAATGGAGTCCATTTCCACATGACCACAGTAAGTCTCTGTTAATTAATGACTGAAAATAGCTCTGTATGTTCACATAGGATCCAAATTTGCTTCAATAATTATTCAAATATGGAACTAGGAGTTTCAGCTACAGAATACAATCTCTCAGCATTTGGAATATAGACATCTTATCTGGCCTTCCACAAAACTCCAGTGAAAACACAAACACAAACATCACTCAAGTTTCCACACCTTTAGTCCCAGTTATTCAGGAAGCTGAGGTGGGAGGATCGCTTGAGCCTGGGAGTTAAAGGCTGCAGAGAACTATGGTCATGCCACTGCACTTCAGCCTGGGTGACAGAGCGAGACCCAGAGCAAGACCCTATCTCAAACAAACAAACAAACAAACAAAAAACAAAACTCAAGTTCCCACTTCAATTCCTGGTGTGTTTTCTGGTGGTAAAGAGCTTCCAAAATATGTATATTGGGCATATATTTCATTTGTTAGCCTAGTTTCTCTTCTGTTGGGGAATAACTGTAACAGTAGCTAGTATTTATTTATTTATTTATTTATTTATTTAATGTTTTGAGACAGAGCCTTGCTCTGTCGCCCAGGCTGGAGTGCAGTGGCATGATCTTGGCTCACTGCAACCTCTGCCTTCTGGGTTCGAACAGTTTTCCTGCCTCAGCCTCCCAAGTAGCTGGGATTACAGATGTGCGTCCCCATGCCCAGCTAACTTTTGTATTTTTAGTAGAGATGGGGTTTCGTTTTGTTGGCCGGGCTGGTCTTGAACTCCTGACCTCAAGTGATCTGCCTGCCTCAGCCTCCCAAAGTGCTGGGATTACAGGCGTGAGCCACTGTGCCCGGCCAATAGCTAATATTTATACAGCCCTTATGAAGCACCAGGCACTGCCCTAAGCGCTTTACATATATTCATTTATTTAATCATCATAGCAATTCTATTGGGTGGGTACCATTATCATTCTCATTTTATATGCAAGGAAATTGAGGCCCAGAGAGGTTAAGAGACTTGCCCAAGGACACATGGCTGGTAAGAGGCAGAGCCAAGACTTCCCAGGCAGTCAAGACCTAGAGTATGCTCAGCCCCTGGCTTAGAGAGATGATGGGATGGTTAGGTTGTAACTGGTGACATTTACGTTTAGACAGATGGTCGGATTGTTGAGTGTTATGGCATGCCAAAGTCAAATGCAAGTCCCCCATTATGTGGAAATCATAGTTTATTGAGAACTGACCATTTGCCAGGCTCTATGGTAATCTTTATAGATGTATTTAGTATTCACAGCAATTCCAATCTTTCTGACTACAAAGCCCATAATTTTAACCAGTACCTTACACTATGCAGTGGTGGCTCAGAGTTGCTTCACTAGTTTCTTAGTTATTGCTAAAGCCAATTGTTATTTCCACATGGGTGGGTTTAATATTCGCGTTAGGTGAAGTTTGTAGTCAATAACAGTGAGCAATATGAAGAAGTTTAAACAAGCGAGATGAATTAATTTCATGTGCTTTGAGCTCTTATAAAACCTACAGGCAGAGGGATTTTAGAGATCTTCTACCAAAAAAAAAAGTCCCCCTTGTTGAATGAGTTTGCATTCTTTCCTCAGGTATTTCAAATTACAGAACCCACCACTTTTCCTTTTTTGCCAAAGTGACCAGAAAGCTCACAGTGTATTTGAATGCTCACTCAAAGTAACTGTATTAACAGATTTTTTGGTGTATTTATTTCTTTTTTTGTTTTTTTTTTTTTTTTTTTTTTTTTTTTTTGAGACAGAGTCTCGCTCTGTCGCCCAGGCCGGACTGCGGACTGCAGTGGAGCAATCTCGGCTCACTGCAAGCTCCGCTTCCCGGGTTCACGCCATTCTCCTGCCTCAGCCTCCCGAGTAGCTGGGACTACAGGCGCCCGCCACCGCGCCCGGCTAATTTTTTGTATTTTTAGTAGAGACGGGGTTTCACCTTGTTAGCCAGGATGGTCTCGATCTCCTGACCTCGTGATCCATCCGCCTCGGCCTCCCAAAGTGCTGGGATTACAGGCGTGAGCCACCGCGCCCGGCCTGGTGTATTTATTTCTCCTTTCACATATATTCTGCTTCAGTCCTTTTTTTTTTTTGTAGCTGGGACTACAGGTGTGCACCACCACGCCTGGCTCATTTTTGCAGTTTTTGTAGAGACAGGGTTTTACCATGCTGCTCAGGCTGGTTTTGAACTTCTGGGCTCAAATGATCCACTGGCTTCAACCTCCCGAAGCTCTGGAATTACAGGCATGAGCCATTGTGCTCAACCCTGTTTCAGTCTTAATGGTATAATTATATCTATATCTCAGTACATGCAACCCTGGGTTGAATACATTTTATTTATTATTTTTTAAAGTATATTTATTTATTTTAGACAGAGTCTGGCTTTGTCACCCTCTGTCACCCAGACTGGAATGCAGTGGCGTGATCCCGGCTCACTGCAACCTTCACCTCCTGGGCTCAGATGATCTTCCCACCTCAGCCTCCTGAGTAGCTGGGACTACAGGAGCACACCACCACACCCAGCTAATTTTTTTTTTTTTTTTTTTTTTTTTTTTTTTTTTTTTTATAGAGACAGAGTCTCCCTATGTTGCCCAGGATGGTCTCAAACTCCTGAGCTCAAGTGATCCACCCGCCTCGGCCACCCAAAGTGCTAAGATTACAGGTGTCAGCCACAGTGACTGGCCTTAAGTTAGATACATTTTAAAACAGAGAAGGTACACTTGACTGCTTTGATAGTCCAGGGAGGAAGAATCCTCCTTGTGCGTGAGGGGAAGTGAGTTGCCCCTGATGGTTGTGGGCAGTTCCTGGCCTGGCGCTCCAAGGCCCTCTTGCCCAGTCTTTCTCATTCCAAAATACATGATGCTTCTGGTTTTGATAAGCAGCTGAGACTTGATTCAATCCCTACTGGAAACAATTAGGAGAAAATAATTTGCTGTTGTAAGATCAAGCAGGGGAAACAGTCCCTGCTGGAACCATGTGTTTCTTTTATCTGGGATGCCCGTAACCTACAGAGCCCACATTCCTTGAGTTGGAGGGAAGAGGGATTATCTACTTCCCATGGCTCCAGCTCCACTCAGACCTGGCAGCTCACTGCCGTGGACAGTCCAGCGTGTTGTACTCACAGGTGTGGACCTTGGAGTCATACAAATCCAGATTGAAACCAGCTGTACCGCACAGCTGCCTTGGGAAAGTTGATTAACCTTTATAAGCCACATATGCTCGTCTGTAAACTGGGAACACTACTCTCTAAAGATATTGTAAAAATTAACTAAGGTTATGTTTGTAAAGCAATTAACACAGCAAATGAGAAAAACGGCCCAAAAATGTACATCAGCAGAAATATTACTATTTTATTGCAGTGTTATTAAAATGGAAGCAAAGACTTTATAAACCTATGTTTCTCCTCAGAAATAGCAGGTAGCTTTAAGTCCAGCAGCCCCTAACCCAAGATGGGCCACCAAATGTAACTTTCAGTCTTTCAAGCACTCATGGGACATTTAAAAATACTTCATGATGTACTTGACGATAAAGGAAATCTCAACAAAATCAAATAATTTAATATTGTTAATAACACAAGTCTGACTGAAATAGCACAGAATTTAAGAGCAACAACCAAAAAGATAGCCAAAAAGATCATGTGTTTTATCAGTGTTTCAAAAGCTGAATAAATAATTCTAAATAATTTATAAATCAAAGAAAATATCATAATAGTGAATTTAAATATTTTGAACTAAATAACTGTAAAAACACTATCAAAAATTGTGGGATGTAGTTAAAGGAATATATGGAGGGAGATTTTTGACTTTAAATGTTTAATAAAACAGCGAGTTGAGTTTCAATTTAAGAAGTAAGGAAAGGCGGGCAGATCATGAGGTCAGGAGATCTAGACCATCCTGGTTAACACAGTGAAACCCCGTCTCTACTAAAAATACAAGAAATTAGCCGGGTGTGGTGGTAGGCACCTGTAGTACCAGCTACTCAGGAGGCTGAGGCAGGAGAATGGCCTGAACCCAGGAGGCGGAGGTTTCAGTGAGCCGAGATTGCACCACTGCACTCCAGCCTGGGCAACAGAGTGAGACTCTGTCTCAAAATAAATAAATAAATAAATAAATAAATAAATAAATAAATATAAAAAACAAAAAAAAAATAAAAAGAAAGAAGTAAGGAAAAAAGCAACAGTGCAGACCCAAAAAAGACAGGGACAGAAGTAATAATGATAAGAGCAGGAGTAACAAAACAGAATTTTAAAAAGCCACAGGGGACTAACACTAAACTAAATCTGAGCACTCCCAGTTTTCTCATCTATAGAAAGGAGGGGATAGTATTGACCTCAAAGTAAAGGTGTGAGGGACACATGCCGTAATGGGTGCAAAAGGACTTTGTGAACCGCCGAGAACTATTCGCATGCACTTCCATTTTTATTTTGTTTATTCAACACATATTTACTAATTACCTGTTCTGTGCCAGGTGACTTGTCTGGCTGTGCGGGTACAATGCCTCCTTGGACCTTACTCTCTATAGGAGTTGTGGATCTTAAGCGGGTCACTGTATGCTGTGCAGGAGATGTGCACTGTGTAAGGAGAGCGCATGGTGGAGATATAGCCTACTCAAGGATGTTAGGAAAGTTTGGCTGGAAAATGAGGTTCAAGCAGAGATCAGGAGGTGGAGTGGAGGGAGAAGTACTGTGAGCAAAGGGAAGACCAAGTATGTGTGTAAAGAGCAGGAGGCTGGGCCCAAAGTGTGTAGTGTGGTGGGAGATGGGGTTGCAGGTGCTGGAAGGAGCTGTGCAGGCTCTCATAGGCCGTGTTTGGGTTCTTGCATTTTAAGAGCAATGAGAAACTGTTCTGTTGTTTTAACCAGGGGACAGGATGGATTGGAAGGAGACAGAATGAATGTAGGGGATTATTTATAAGGCCATGCATGGTCCAGGTGAGAGATGAGATGACAGTGGCTTGAATTAAGATGACAAAGGTAGAGATGGGGAGAGGTGGATGAACTTGAGAGCTATTTCAAGGATAAAATCTAAACGCATACCCTGGAGTTCAGGGACGTGGATTAGGACACCCTACTGGATCCCATGGAGAAGGATGATTCAAGGGATATCTCCCTGGGGGGGTGTGGTTCTTGTTTGTGGACCCACTGGTTTATTTACCAGAACATGGCTCTTCTATGCTATCGTTTTTGCATCTTGGGTCAAAAGACAACAAGGTTGCTGACCAGGTGGCCTCTGGTCTGGCATCCTCTGGCCAGGCGGGTCCTGCTGCACTTGACTGAGAAAGCTGGCCGCTCGGACTACTGCTACATTTGGTTGAAATTTCTTTTTCTTTGTAACCTAGTAATGCAATATACCTGGAGGTCCATTTATATTATTAAGCTTTTAATACATTTCATAAGTAATATCCTACTTACTGAAAACATTTACTGTTTAGGATTTTCATTAGATCACTTGGATAAATGCAGAATTCCCTTAAAGTTGACAACAATGAGGAAACTTACAAAACAAGTGATTTGTCAAAAGCTGAAATCTGAAAAATTATGTTAGTTTTGGAGGTCTAGGTAATTAATACGGTTTGGAAATAGAGGATCTTAGTGGGTTATAAGCACAGTATATATTCATGAATCGGGCTTTCTGGGAAGATGTGCCACACACTCAACAGACCTGATTTCCTTTCTTCCTGCGACTGCATTTCCCAGCCTCCCCTGCAGCTAGGTAAGATCATGTAATGGAATTCTGGCCAATGGAATATGAGTGGAGTTAATGTGGGTAACCTCCATGATGGGCAAAGAAACACCTCCCAGGAAAAAGTCTTGATTTTTCCTCATGTCTGCTGACTACATATCGACTCTTGAATAGACTTGAGTATCTGCTGTTGAAGGATGCAGAGGCTCTGTCAGCCTGGGCCCCTGAGTGACTTCATGGAGTATACCATCTCTCCAACTGGATTTTATGTAAGTGGAAATAACGTTCTACAAGGTTAAGCCACTGAGATTTGGGGGTTTGCCTGCTACAGACATTTAGCTGTAACACATATTAATCTGTATGACTGGCTAAGTGCAGTTGAACCAGGTAGTCCTGGTCTAAGAACTCCTTTTAAAGATCGTCATGTTTCTAAGCATCTGTTTTCAGTGTACCTGGTCATTCTCACTTACCTGTTCTTTCAGCTTTCAGTGGTTCAGTTTTTCTCCACTGTTTCCACCAAAATACCATCAACAGTAAGGAAGAACAATGTGGACCACCAGAAGGCTGGAGTGTTTTCTGAAGCTGCTCCTGCTTGGACTTTGGTTGGAAGTCGTGATTGTCTGAGGGTTCATGCTGGCGCTCCCCCAGTGAACCTAGCTCACCTACCCTCTGCTCTGGCTCTAGTCTCTCTTCCCTTCTTCTAAGGGAGGCTACTGCTGTGCTCAGTGCGGAGCTGGGTTCAAGGAGAGCTGGGGCTCTGAAGGAGTCGTGGGGAGAAGGCTGACATGAGTCCTGAGTGAGTGGACCTGCTCTCTCTGGCCCTGAAGGGGTCAAGAGGCAACTGGGTGTGTGGGCTGAGTCTTTCCTGGCCCTGAAGCTGGAAGTAGAGGCTTTGTGCAGGATCCTCAGCAGGGGACTAAAAGCCTGTGCTTTCATAACCCGAGCCACACTGGCAAGTGCGCTGCCTCCTCCCACCTTTGAGACAGTTGCCTTCAGGAGCACATCTACCAGAAGCCAACAAAGAAAAGCAACAGCCTCTTGGAGGGGCCTTTCTCCAGGGAGAGAAGGGTGAGGCAGCACAGGCAGAGCTGGTGTAGGAGACACAAGACAGTATGAATTTCAAAATCAGAGCATTGAAGGAGATTCAAATATGGCACAAAAAGAGTTTCTGGAGCTAAAAATCATAATTTCCTAACTAAATACCATTCAGTAGATTAACTGAAAAAGTGGAAGATCACCGTGAAGATATGGTCAGCTCTCCTGGAGGGTCAAAGGGCAGACAGACCCCTTGATGAAAAGGGTGGTATAGAGCAAATGTAGAAAGAGATGGGAAGCAAGTAGAAATGGGTAAGGAACATGGGATGGATCCTAAAACCTTGACTTGTGAATAGAGAAACCTTGACTTGCAGAAAGAGGAAAAAATAGAACCAACGGAGGAGAGGTGACCATGATACTAACAATAAAAGAAAACTTCCCTGAACTGAAGCAAACCTGAGCCTCTGTTTTTTTTGTTTTCAAATTTAATACACTATTTTTAAGAGAAGTTTTAGATTCACAACAAAATCAAGCAGAAAATAAAGAATTCCCATGTGCCCACCCTCCATAGCTTCCCACCCTCCTTCCCACCCTCCATAGCTTCCCACCCTCCTTCCCACCCTCCATAGCTTCCCACCCTCCTTTCCACCCTCCATAGCTTCCCAAACTATCAACATTTCTCACCAGCATGATACATTTGTTATAATTGATGAGCCTACATTAACACATCATTATCAAAGTTCCTTTACCCAGGGTTCCCTCTTGTTGTACGTTCTATGTGGGTTTTAAGGAATGTATCCACCATTATAGTACCATACAGAGTAGTTTCACTGCCCTAAAAATCCCCTGCCCTCCCCCTACTCAGCCCTTCCTCCCCAGGTCCCTGGAAACCACTGATCTTTTCACCATCTCTATAGCTTTGCCTTTTCCAGAGTGTCATATAGGTGGGACCACTCAGCATGTAGCCTTTTCAGATTGGCTTCTTTCACTTAGTAATGTGCATTTAAGGTTCTTCCACGTCTTTTTGGTGACTTGATGGCTCATTTCTGTTTCGGCACTGAATACTATTCCATTATCTAGATGTACCACAGTTCATTTATCCTTCCACCCACTGAAGGACATCTTGGTTGCTTCCAGGTTTTGGCTATTATGAGTAAAGCTGCTGTAAACATCCATGTGCAGGTTTTTGTGTAGATATAGTTTTTCAATTCATTTGTGAAAATGTTAAGGACTGTAGTTGGTGGATTATATTTTAAGAGTGTGTTCAGTTTTATAAGAAAATGCCAAACTGTCTTCTGAAGTAGCTGTGCTATTTTGCATACTCCCACCAGCAGTGAATGAGAGCTCCAATTGCTCCACATCCCCCCAGCATTTGGCATCATCAGCATTGTGGATTGCCACCATTCTAATAGATGGGTAGTGGTATCTCATTGTTTCGGTTTGCAGTTGTCTACTGATGTGCGACGTGGGCCCAGCTTTTCATATACTTGTTTATCATCTGTATATCTTCTTTGCTGAGGTGTCTGTTTTGATCTTAGGCCCATTTTTAAACTGGGTTATTCATTTTCTCATTGTTGAGTTTTAAGAGTTCTTTGTATATTTTGGATTACAGTCTTTTCTCGGATGTATCATTTGCAAATATTTTTTCCCAGTTTGTGGCTTGTCTTCTCATTCTCTTGAGAGCCTGCCTTTTAGAAAAAAATTAACTATCTTAAGGGAAAAATCTTATTTATTTATTCATTTTTTAAATTGACAAAATTGTGTATGTTTATTTTGTAAAACATGTTTTGAAATATGTCTACATTGTAAATTGAGCTTATTAACATATGTATTTCTTCACATACTTATCATTTTTTTGTGGTGGAAAGAGAAAAATCTTAAATGTGTTTGGGCAGAAAGAATGAGAAGAGCCTCCCAGGCCCTGGACTTCATATTTGACACAGGCGATCGTCATCCTCCTGGAAAATTCTTTCCCTTTATTCCTGCCTGCCAGTCTCTTGGTATCTCTCCTTCAACATGTTCTTTTTTTAAAAAAAAACTCAGATCTTTATATATTAAAAGTATAAATATCTGTTGAGCTGGAAATTGTACTCCTTGGAATCTAATCCACAAGGAAAAGAAAACGAAAAAACACCAGAGGTAAATGACACTAGAGTCAGGATGCCTCTAGTGGCCCACCTGCTAAAAACCTGTAGACAAAGGGCAGATTTATTATTAGGAAAATGGCCAAACAATTGATGGGATATATTAACGTATTATGCAAGCATCAAAAAGGATAAATAGAACTAAACCAGTTGATTTGATGGTGTTAAGTAAGAAAAGCAAGATTCAGAAAATGATATTTAATATGTTTACAGTTAAATATCACTCTTTCTATGTGTAGTCTATGTTTACATGCATAAATACCTGTAACACTAGAAAGTAAGCTCAAGCAACAAGAGACTTTGTTTATTTTTCACACAGTATCCTCAATGTCTAGAAGAGAAGTGAGAAGTGTAAAGTTGGAGAAAAAAATCAGAAGGCAGCAACTAAATTGATGGATTACTATTATATGGACAAATGGGTAAAAACAGTCCAAGAAAAAAAATTCCCCCCTCAACCCAAACAGCATATGTATTACCACACTTATATATTTATGTTAAATTCTATGTATATTTGAAGAAATTTTTAGAAAGTAAAACAAACCAAAAAAGTTTATACACAGTTTACATTTTACTTTATTATATATTTATGCTTGTGCATAATGTTTATATTCATTTTAACTTAAAAATATGTTAAAGTAAAACATATTCAATTACAGGGAACCCTCTCAAAAGATTCCTTCTCAATTCAAACAGTGACTGTGATATTAAAGAATGATTAATTTTTAGATGTGGGAGCAGTGTTGTGGTTATGTCAAACCACATACCCTCAGCAAACTCCTGATCTTTTTGAAACACATACTGAGGTATTTGCATGAAATGATAGGGTATCCGGGTTTGCTCCAGTGTGGCTGGAAGGAGGTAAAGCGGGGATGGCATGTGGAAGAAGATTGTCATGTGTTGACAATTCTTGACACTGGGGGATGGGTTCATTATATTATTGTAATTATATGATTGAAATTATATACTATTATACCACTGAAATGATATACTATTACACTATTTGAATTATATACTCTTTTGCTATTGAAATTATATATTATTATACTATTGAAATTCTCCATATAAAATCTTTAAAACTAAAACCCTACAATTTCCATGATTAACTCTGTTTATCTAGTTTTCAAACTTATATTTTGCAGCAATAATCTATTTTGGAAAGTACCTCAAATCTTCACTGTCAGCTTTGTACTTGTTAATTCAGATTATTATTTGGAGTACTATTGTTACTTCAGAATAATAATATCTGTTCCATAAGTTAACTTTGAGAGTCACTTTTTATTATTAAGGGAAAAACAGATCAATTTACCTAATTTCACTTTTTTTTTTTTTTGGAGATGGAGTCTTGCTCTGTCGCCCAGGCTAGAGTGCATTGGCACGATCTTAGCTCACTGCAACCTCTGCCTCCCGGGTTCAAGTGATTCTCCTGATTTAGCCTCCATAGTAGCTGGGATTATAGGCATGCACCACCACACCTGGCTAATTTTTTGTATTTTTAGTAGAGACAGGGTTTCACCATGTTGTCCAGGCTGGTCTTGAAAACCTGACTTCAGGTGATCCAGCTGCCTTGGCCTCCCAAAGTGCTGGGATTACAGGTGCCTGGCCTAATTTCACCTTTTGTCAGATGATTTTCTCTTTTCCACTTGAAAAAAGATAACAGTTCCACCCTACAGGTGAAAGTTTTGATCACCACTTTGCCTGGCTCCACCTTCCATCTGTGTAGTATCAAAATCACTTTCCGTTTTCTGTACAAATTTCTCAAAATACAGGCATGTTTAAACTGTTCTTTTTTGTTATTTGATAGAAAAGGTCTTCCTTCTAGCAACCAACCAATCTCCCAACAAAGGCAGCCAATAATTCAATCAATCAACCAATCGGTCAATCAATTAGTGGCATTAGAGGAACAGAGAGGCAGGAAACAATGGTCTCTAATAAGAATTTGCACTGTAGCCAAGGAGATGAATCTAATTGTTGTCATTAACTGAAAAGTTCAGGGCTAAATTCTATGGAAAGACTGTAGATGTTAAAGCTGGTCCTTTAATGAGTTCCCCTTCCACTACCCTTTTGTTCTCAAGACCAAAGTTTTTCACAGGCGTTCTTTCTACCCTTGATGCTTAGGATGGCTCCACAGGAGTAAGTGTCTGGAAACTAATATGTAACAGATTTCCCTCCTGCCACCCATTCCTCCATCTTTAAAATGAAGGTGTGACTAAGAATGACATGCGTCTATGGATGCTGGAAATCCCTCAGGCGTAGGAGGCGTCCGGGGTCTTCTGCTGACTCTTGCTGTCTCCTGCCAGACAACACCTCCACTTCCGGCAGAGGAATGGGTCACTCCAGGGAAATTACCTCAGAACAGGACAAGTGTGCTGGGAGAGAGTCGGCCTTTGTTTTCATTGAGAGGGTCATTGGGCTAGAACAAAGGGATAAGAGAGTGAAATTATAAAGACTTAGAGCATTTGGAATTCTCTTGCTTCAAGCTTCTGTCTGGCGGCCTCAGAAGGCAGCCGAGTGTCTTTTTTCCTGAAGTTCCCGCATCTCTGCTTTGCCTGTTGGTCTCTTTGTTTTCAAAACCCACACCTTGACTGATAGTGCAAATCACTTGTTAAACTTTTGTAAGGTTTAGTGAAGTGTTTCTGTTAGGCTGTTGTTTTGGTTGTAGACAGCAGAAAACCCAAATGAAATGGCTTATGCAGTAAGACTGATCACCTCGCATGACAAGAGGTTTCAAACTTCTATTTTACGGCAATAATCTTTTTTGGAAAGTACCTCAAATCTTCACTGTTAGCTTTGTACTTGTTAATTCAGATTATTATTTGGGGTGTTATTTGGAGCACGATGGGTAAGCTGTTTGTGTTCCTATCTAACTCTCGCTCCTCCGGACTGTGCACCTCTATGCTCCCACCTTGCCTACCTAAAGATTTCATTTGTTCCCTTATCACCTTTCCCTTCTCCAAAATCCAGTTTCTATTCTGCTGAATAATGTTACACATAAGCAAGATGGCACACACAAAAACCCTGAAATATCTCCCAATCTGAAAAAAACAACTTCTTATTTATTTATTTACTTTTTTATTTTTTAAACTTTTATTTTAGGTTCAGGGGTACATGTACAGGTTTGTTAAATAGGTAAATTCGTGTCAGGGAGGTTTTTTGTACAACCTATTTCATCACTCAGGTTCTAAGTGTAGTGCCCAATCGTCATTTTTTTCTGATTCTCTCCCTCCTCCCACCCTCTACCCTCAGGTAGACCCCGGTGTCTGTGTTCCCCTCTTTGTGTCCATGTATTCTCATCATTTAGCTCCCGCTTACAAGTGAGAACATGCGGTATTTGGTTTTCTGTTCCTACGTTAGCCTGCTAAGGATAATAGCCTCCAGCTGCATCCATGTTCCTGCAAAGGACATGATCTCGTTCCTTTTTATGGCTGCATAGTATTCCATGGTGTATATGTACCATGTTTTCTTTATCCAATCTGCCAATGATGAGCATTTAGGTTGATTCCATGTCTTTGTTATTGTGAATAGTGCTGCGATGAACATACATGTGAAAGCACAACTTCTTTTATTTCCTTTATAGCAAAACTCTTCCAAGTAGTTGCCCTCCCTTGCTGACTCTCCCTCTGTTCCTTTCAGCTTTTTCTAATCATCTCCAGTCAGGCTTTCGTGCCCCATACTCTGCTGAAACTATACCTATCAAGGTCCCAGATGCATCGACAAGCCCAGTGGCTAATGCTCCTTGCTCGACTTATTGGCAGCCCTTGGCATAGTTGCTCACTCCCTCTGTGGCCTTTCCCGTTCCCCTCCTACAGCACACAGATTCCTTTTCTGTCTCTTTGTGGGATCCTTCTGATTTTCTGGACTTCAACCATGGAAATACCAGTGGGCCAGTCCTCAGACCTCTCTTCTCTGTTCACATTCTCTCTCTTGGGGGGTCTCATCCTATCTCTTGGCTTTAAATGCCATTTATATGCTGATGTCTCCCAAATCTAGACCTTCTACTTGGACCTCACTACCAAACTCCAGACTCACAAATCCGCCTTACAAATCCACAGATTCAACTTGCCTATGAAATGTCTAATTGGTGTCTTAAACTTAACACATCAGAACTGAGCTCTTGATTTCTTCTCTGCTCCAAGCCTGCTCTTCCTCCAGATGTCCCCATTGCAGTAAATGGCAACCCCGTTATTTTGTTTTCTCCACCCTCAAATCTTGAAGGGATCCTCGACTCTTCTCTTTCCCTGACATTTCCCAAGCACCAGCAAATCTTCGAATTATATCCAGATTCCAACAGCTCCTTGCCACGCTGGTTCAAAGCGCTGCCACGTCTCACCTGGAGACTTGCCGCAGCCTCCGGACTTGCCTCTAGGATCCCACTTGCCCCCTCCAGTCTTGCCCACTTCAGGAGCGAGCATGGTAAAACCTCCCGAAAACCCTCCGTGCTGCTCACCTGGCTCAGGTTAAAAGCCAGAGTCCTTGCAGTAGCCTGGGAGTCCCTTCTGGCCTCAGACCCTGCTTCTCTGACATCAGCCCCTCCTTCTTCCCTTCACCTCCTTCAAGCAGCATGACACTCTTGGCATTCCTCAGACCCCCAAGCCTGCCTGGAAGTCCCCGCTCAGGCCTTTGCACTGCCTTCCCCCAGCTGAGGCTGCCTCCCAGGCACTCTCGGTTCTCGTGGCTCACTCCTCACTTCCTTCTTGTGTCTGCTCAAAGTGTGCAAACCAGTCCAGTGAAGATAGCACCCTCCTCACCCATCGCCCTCTGTCCACTTGCTTTGCTTTCTCCTCTTTACTGTACTTATCTAGTTATAATCTAATCATATTTCATTTGTGATTTGATTACATGTCAAAATGATAATATTTTGGATACTTTGGGTTTAATGAAACAAATAATGAAATAGGTTATAAAATTATTTTTTTCTTTTATGTTTGTTTTGCCCACCACAAAATTTGAAATTGCACATGTAGCTTGCATTTTGGCTCACGTTCTGTTTCTCTTGGATGGTGCTGGCTTAGAGCACTAACAGTCTACTTGGATAATTGGGGAGAGGCTACTTGCTAGTATAAAACTGGGATTCTGCAAGTGTCGAAGAGGCAGGTAACGGCAGGTGGAAGGCAATCAGCAGTGTTGGCTGCACAGGAGCAGGAGTTTGCAATGAGGGTTTTGGAGCTGGATGGGCATTTGCATCCTGGTTCCACCACCTATTGGACATCTCTCAGCCTCAGTTTCCTCATCTGGAAAATGGGGATTATAATATCTATCATGTTGGATTACTGTGAGAATTAATGAAAATATGTATACAATTCTTAATACCGCACCTGGCACATAGGGAATACAAATAAATTGTCCTTATTTTCCTCAATTCTCAAGTCTCAGCTGGCCCCGCTGCTGGGCAGATGGTTCATACTAGTTTCCTAGGTGCTGTTGTTATATTCTGAAGCTCCCATTTTCTAAACCACAGTCTTGGAAGCAGTTGGTTATCATGGAAACTCATTTTTGGCTTATTGATACACCAACTGGGTAGAGGTGAGGTATATTATCTATTATCTTAGGGTTCAAAATTTACCAAAATTACAGGCCTGTGGGTGTGATGTCATGTTAGCAGAGACATGCTTTGCACTACAAAAGGACATCTCAGCGTGTAGTTGGAGGTGCTCATTCAGCAGACCATTTTGCCAAATACTGTCTACCAGTTCCTGAGCCTGTGGATTGTCAATAATCATACTCTTTTTTTTTTTTTTTTGAGACAGAGTCTTGCACTGTCACCCAGGCTGGAGTGCAGTGGGGCGATCTCCACTCACTGCAAGCTCCGCCTTCCGGGTTCATGCCATTCTCCTGCCTCAGCCCCCTGAGTAGCTGGGACTACAGGCACCTGCCACCACGCCAGGCTAACTTTTTGTATTTTTAGTAGAGACAGGGTTTCACTGTGTTAACCAGGATGGTCTCAATCTCCTGACCTCGTGATACACCTGCCTCAGCCTCCCAAAGTGCTGGGATTACAGGGGTGAGCCGCCGCACCTGGCCAATAATGACACTCTTACCAGCCCTGTCCAGTGTCCTCAGGTTTATGGACACTGAAGCTCCTGGACAAAGGTCTATGAACTGATGTTGGAGGTGGAACCTGCCCTTGGGGACCCACCAGCTCACCCTGAAGCTGACAACTTCACCTCTGAGGAAGGGAGCTTTCTGTAGAACATTAGTGAGACACACCCAGACTGGAGCTCTGCCTGCCTATCTCCACCCAGCACACCCACAGCAGAGTTAAGGTTCTGCTGGTGCCATGAAACATACTTCTCAGAGAAGTGCTGCCTGCTCAGTACTTGTTTTTGCATCACTTATGTGTCCAGCAGGGGCAGGTGGGGCATCGCCTGCACAGAGCCGATTGCCAGGTTGAATGGAGCAGACTGCGTTGCTGACATCATCTTGGAAATCAGTGGTAAACTAGGCTTTGAGTCATCCAGTGTCTGAGAGATTCTCAAAAACACACCTATTGTATAAAGCAGTGATTTCCAGTACTTCGTAAGGGGGAAAACGTCATCACTTGTGTGGTTTGTCATCACCACTCCCCACCTTTGATTTGCTGAAATGCACCTTTCAGTTTATTTTGGTGAGTGTAAATTAATATTTTTTAAAAGCAAATGAAACTTAATGGACATTTCCGTTTTAACATCAATATGTATTTTTAGAATTTTGTGATTCTGCTTCTCCTTCTAACCTACTCCACTACCTTGGAGATAACGAAACACACCCTGCAGTAAGGATAAGGTGGATTATTGCGGGGATTCCTCTCTTCCTTGTGTTCTTTCTGCCAACTCTTAGGTAGGTTTCATAGAGAGTTTGTCCTGTCGTTTCACACACTGGCATTTTATAGAATAAAGGGAGAACTGGAACAAAGGTGAATTTCATAGCTCTCAAGCCTTCGCAGGGAAAAGTTTTGTCCTCCTGTTTTGGTCCTTACTCGTAAATGGCTGTGTGTTTATCCTTAAATGTTTGCCCACCAACTGTTAATTAATTTCTCATTTGCATGTCTCAGCCCTCAGTGAGAGAGTATGCTACTGAAGGACCAGGATATTTGTTTCTTTTGGTTTCAAGTGACAGGAATTCAACTGCCTGTGGCTTAAGCAAGAGTCGAGCTTTACTGGCTGTAAGTGGGAAAGACAGGGATGCCTCACAGGAATCCGATTATGTTTGCCAGGGCTTGTTCCCATTCTGCCGCTCTCATCTCCAATTCTCCTTCTGTGTTGGTTTTCTTCTCTCTTATTATAGATGGTTTCCTCTAGATGGTAGGTGGTGGGGTGGGCAGAGGAGTGAGTGGACCTGGCTGCACATGGCTACAGACTTTTATCACCCAGCTGTTGTTTAAGGAATCTGGCAAGCCTTTGGCCCTGGTTCCTGGGAAGAAGCCTCTAAACTCTTGGAATTTCCCGAGTCATAGGAGTGCCGTTGTTATTCGCTGTGGGCCGCTTAGACCACACCTGATTTATACTGAAGAGGTGACTCATGGTCAGCCCCTAGACAGTTTCAGGATGGAGGCTGCTCAGCCAGAAAAACCAACCTTTAGAGAGCTGGGGCTGTGAGCCAGAAATATCAGCCAACCTCTTGAGAGGGTAGGGTAGTGGAGGCTGAGTTCAATCACATGGCTGATGACTCAGGCAATCAGACCTACAGAAGGAAACCCCAATAAAAACTCTGATGATCGTACATCCGTGCGCTGGAGGGTGATGCCTCCTGAGGACATGGGAGCTTCATGTTTGGAGCCCTCCCTGACATCAGCCCATGTGTGTCTTCATTTGTGTGGTCCTCATTTGTATCTTTGTGCTGTAATAAATCTGGGATATTGAGTATAGTGTTTTCTTAAGTTCTGTGAGTTATTCCAGTGAATTATCTAACCTGATTATTCTTGATAATTGGTGGGAAACGTTAAATTTGTAGCAGTTGGTCAGGAGTGTGGGTAGCCCTGGGACCTCTGAACTAGCAGCTGGTGTCTGAAGTGAGGGCAGTCCATGGAGGACTGTGCCCTTAACACAGGGCACAGGGTAGTGAGTGTCAGAACTGCATTGCACCAGCTTGGCAAAGGAAGAGATATCTTTTCCTCTTAACATCCAAATGGAAAGCTCCATGGTAACACTTTGGACAGACAGGGTCATGCTGCCAACTTTGAGACTGGAACTAAGTTGTGTGGGGAAGTGCAGTTCGGCAAAGGAGGGGGATGCTGTAGTGGAGGAAGAGAGGATGGTGCTGGGTGAGAGAGCAGTAGTTGTCTGCCATGGTATATCCCCACCTAATTTGATGACCTCCCTCAGCATGTTGCAGAGATAGTCAGTGTTCACCAAATGCCCTCTTGCCTCCTTACATATGTTGACCTTCTTTGCAGTTAGGTCAGGTTCGCATGATTACTTCTGGCCGATGAGCTGTGAGCAGAATTGATGTTAGTCAATTTCAGGCAAAGGTAGGTAAGAGCCTGGAGTCCTTTCCCATCTCTCTTCTTTCTTTGTTGCTGTGACCCCGGCAGCCAAGTGTTCCAGATGGCACACCACAAGACGGAGGAGGGCCACCACCACCCATGTTGGTCTTAAACTACGTTAAAGCCAGCATGATTTGAAAGTTGTGGTACGCAGAATAATGGCTCCCCAAAGATCTTAGGTCCTACTCCCTGGAACCTGTAAATGTAACTTTATTTGGAAAAAGGATCCAATACTTTGCAGGAATAATTAAGTTAAGGATCTTGAGGTGAGATTATCCTCGGTAATTTGGGTGAGCCCTAAATGCCATCACAGTGTCATTGTAAGACAGAGGCAGAGGGAGATTAGTCATACAGAGGACAAGACGATGTGACCTTGGAGGCAGAAACTGCAGTGATGTGGCCATAGCCAAGGACCTTTATTCTCTCATAGTTCTGGAAGCCAGAAGTCTGAAATCAGTCTCACTGGGCCCAAATCAAGGTGTCTGCAGGGCCACTTTCCCTTTGAAGCTGCAGGGAGAATCCTTCCTCTTCCAGTTTCTGGTGGCTCCGGGCATTCCTTGACTTGCTGCAGCTCCAACCTCTCCAACTCCAATCTTTGCTTCCACCTTCCCGTGGGCTTCTCTGTGTCTTCTCCTGTATGTCTGTGTTATCTTCTCTCCTTATAAAGACACATCATGGCTGGACAAGGGTGGCTCATGTCTGTCATCTCAGCACTTTGGGAGGCTGAGATGGGTGGATCACCTGAGGTCAGGAGTTGGAGACCAGCCTGGCCAACATGGTGAAACCTCATCTCTATTGAAAATACAAAAATTAGCCGGGTGTGGTGGTGGGCGCCTGTAATCCCAGCTACTTGGGAGGCTGAGGCAGGAAAATCGCTTGAACCCAGGAGGTGGAGGTTGCAGTGAGTTGAGATCACACCACTACACTCCAGCCTGGGTGACAGAGTGAGACTCTGTCTCAATAAATAAACAAATAAATAAATAAAAAGACACGTCACTGGATTTGGAGCCCATCCAGATAATCAAAAATGATTTCATCTTGAAATCCTTAAGTTAATTCCATCTTCAAAGATCCTTTTTCCAAAGAAGTTTACATTCACAGGTCCTGGGTGGACATAGCTTTTGGGGGCCATCATCAACCACCTGGAGATACCGATGCCTCTGAGAACAAGTCTGGGAGGGGTAGTGTCTCCAAAATATAGACTCATAAAAGACTTTGTTCAATGAGCAGTTGGTGTTTATCTAAATAACATATTCTGTAAGGAATATGAACCCTATCTTCTTGTCAGTACAGGTATTCACCAATGATTGCTTTATGGAAAACATACAAACCCCAGAACTGCCTGTGTATTGTTTGTGAATGTTCTACATTAGGTTAAACATATGTCCTACCTAGTATCCACTTTCTTGGCTTTGTGTTATTGGCCAGGAATGTCATCAGCATGTCTGACATACTAACCCTGTTGACGGCTGTTGGGATACCTCAGTTCCTGTCTTCTTAGTTTAAAATAATTTAAACAAGAGACACACTGCAAAGAAGGTATAGCAGAGTAATTTATTGCAAAAGAAAAAGAATATGTAGAAAGTTAGGGGCAGAATGGCAGTATACCCTGAGAGAGATTGGATTCAGGATGAGACAGCAGAGACTGACACTAGGGAGGCTCCCTTTATGGGATCCCTACATAATTATTCATAAGGAGGTGGGAAAAGGTGTTACTGGTAAGCATGTTCTAGGTGGTCCTCTGGGCGCACACACACAGCAGCTGTACATGCTTGTTCGTACATCTCAGGTCTCATTAGCATCTTATATCTCTACCCGGGCTATGTTTTTTACTATGAAAATGAGCAAAGCGTCAGTTTGAAGACAGGTAAAATCAAAGGGCACATGCCCTCTATGGGGGAAATTCTCAACTGACGATAGCTTTGCTGGAATGAGCTCAATTACAATGTGAATGCTGAGACTCATTTTTGTTGATAGTATGGTCACCAAGGTTGCTGTGTCTTGAGGACACGGTCACTTCTTTGACTACCTATCTTGCTTCAATCCCATTCTTACTATGATGATTTGATTCCTGTAATAAAGATGAGGTTTGGCTGGGCACAGTGGCCACGCCTGTGGTCCCAGCACTTTGGGAGGCTGAAGCAGGTGGATCACAAGGTCAGGAGATTGAGACCAGCCTGGCCAACATGGTGAAACCCCGTCTCTACTAAAAAGACAAAAATTAGTTGGGCATGGTGGTGGGTGCTTGTAATCCCAGCTACTCCGGAGGCTGAGGCAGGAGAATTGCTTGAACCAGGGAGTCGGAGGTTGTAGTGAGCCGAGATCACACCACTGCACTCCAGCTTGCGAACAGAGTGAGACTGCATCTCAAAAAAAAAAAAAAAAGAAAGAAAGAAAGAAAGATGAGGTGCTAGGTGAATAGGTCATGACTAAATTAAAGGCTCCAAATAAATCAAATGACATAGCAAGCATGACCATGGCATGTTTACTTATGGCACTGCCCCCAAACCAGAGGTTGACTTAAAATGCCATTCTAAACATCTCGAAGTCTGAAATCATTTGATTCTGTTGAATAGGGTTACATTGGGCACTTCACATTTTGATGGCTTAAATTCTAAAATCGAGGCTGGGCATGGTGGCTCATACCTGTAATCCCAGCACTTTGGGAGGCTGAGGTGAGCGGATCACCTGAGGTCAGGAGTTGGAGACCAGCCTGGCCAACACGGTAAAACCCTATCTCTACTAAAAATACAAAAATTAGCTGGGCATGGTGGCAGGCGCCTGTAATCCCAGCTACTTGGGATGCTGAGGCAGGAGAATTGCTTGACCCCGGGAGGTGGAGGGTGCGGTGAGCTGAGATCATACCACTGCACTACAGCCTGGGTGACATGAGTGAAACTCCATCACAAAAATAATAAATAAATAAATAAAATAATGTATTATTTGCTCCAAAGAAGCACAGAAATTTAGGAAGGTATCTAAAGGTTTGAATTGTTTTTCGGTATCTTCATTTAAAATATTTTAATTTTAAAACAAAATATTTTAATTTAGGGTCAATTTGGAAATCAGGCTCAAACAAAAGCTGTAGAGAGTCTATGGTTGAGATAGAAAGAGTTCTGCATCCTCTGGAGACCTCAGCACCATTCCTGGGTCTGCAACTGGATTGCTGTGTAAAAAGTTGGTATAAGTTACTTAACGTCTGTGAGCCTCATCTTTTCATCAGTGAAAGTAAGTGTTAGAGTAGCTGATTTTTTTTTTTTTTTTTTTTTTTTTTTTTTTGTGACGGAGTCTCACTCTGTCACCCAGGCTGGAGTACAGTGGCACGATCTCAGCTCACTGCAACTTCCACCTCACGGGTTCAACTGATTCCCCCGCCTCAGCTTCTCAAGTAACTGGGACTACAGGCGTGTGCTACTACATCTGGCTAATTTTTGTATTTTTAGTACAGATGGGGTTTTACCATGTTGGCCATGCTGGTCTCGAACTCCTGACCTCAGCTCGTCCACCCACCTCGGTCTCTCAAAGTGTTGGGATTACAAGTGTGAGCCACCATACCCGGCCTAGTTGATTTCTAAGATTCCTTCCAGCTCTAAAATCCCAATTCTCTAAAAGGGGACAATTTTATAACGGCTCACCCAGGTGAAAGTGAGCTCTCTGAAACACGCCTCATCTCAGAGCTGGGACGGCATGCCACGGCAAGCCATCTCAACATGACCATGGGCCAGGGCAGGCCACAAGGCACAGCAATACAACAGAAACTTGGACTGGCACTGGTTTATTTCTAAGACACGTTTTTCCATTTTCTCTGCAAAGTTTTCTCTCACATCTAGTCAGCTGAAAAAGTACGAGCTGGCAAGCAGCACTGAGGCCCTTCTGCTTGAGGAAGGCTTCGGAGTCCTGGTCCCCTGCCAAGAACACCTCCTATTCCTCACTTCCCCCATCAGCTCTTCTGAAAGAATGCTGGCTGTGGCCGAGTCCCTACTGTGTCTTGCTGCACAGATAGAGGCTCCTTCTCCAGGGCCCTGGTCAGGTCGCCTTGACACCTTTCTGTTCTGTTGGGAGGTGTGGTGTCCCTCCCAGCACACGAAGAGTGTGTCCACAGAGGATGCCCAGGGAGAGGGGATTGTGTCTGAGGGGAATGGCGGGCTCATGAGGAACTGGATGAGGGAGGCATTGGACGGTTTCCTGAGGGTGACAACATACAGCCACTTTCAGTATTTTGCCAAAACAATATTCCATAGCTCAAGGAATGTCACGGCCTTCCAAGCCAACCGCCTCACATGCTCAGGCCCAGATGACTTCATGTGGACGGTGACAACTGGCTGTGCCATAATAAATAGCTCTTTAGCCCAGGGCCTGCCAGACTTCGTGTTTTCTCTGTTTTATAGGTTGGAGGTATGGAAATCAGAGGCTTTCCTCTGAGAAATGTGTTTTTCAAACTTGGGAAGCTTGGGGGAATTTCAAGTTGTGTTTTCTTAGTTTTTTTCCTTATGATATTTGACACCCTTTGGAGGGGAAGAACAAATTACCCTAATTTTGTGTCCTTCCCACTTTGAAGATTCCCTGAGAAGATTGGTATGTCTGGCCCTGAGAGTGATTAGTGAACCAATACAGATCTGAAAGGAGTTTTTTTATCTGGGGGTGGCGTGGGCGCTGCTTAGCGCCTTCAGGTGTTTCCAAGATCCGATGCTCTTGGCAACATGAGATCCAGAGTATCCAGGGTAGGACTGAAAATCACTCACCCCACCAAGACTGGGAAAATCTCCACTCGAGTGAGAAGAGACAGTCAACAGTACCAACACCAAGATGGCAGACACTGAAACCAACTCAGGAGGACTTTACTAAAGAAGAGCTTAATTATGAAAGCAAGATGGTTGTGAGGTATGGTTTTCAAGAGGTGGCAGTGTCAACCTTAGAGTTTTCTGAATCAGGATAAAGTTGAGAGAGGCAGAGGAATGCAAAATGCAAATAATTGGAGCAGAGCTAAGACCCCTTCATTGACCAGGTAGAGACCAGCAGGTCATGTAACCAGGCCAAAGGCTGTGAGCCACCTCCAACAAAATTCTGCACAGGTTGGTCTCCAAGGCATCACTAATGTTAGGAAGCAAGTGAGGGTTCGGATGTGGGGCCCAGGCAGTGCTCAGAGACAGTGCAGACCAGGCGACTACCTGGAAAAGAGGATTCATTAGGGGTGAAGGGAGATGAGGAGCCCAGCCCAAACTCAGAAGCCACTCACTTGGAGCAGAGGGGGTCTTTGGCAGTCAGCTAGTTTGGGAAGTTTTTCTGTGAGCTAGAATGCAAATCTCTTTGTTCTCAGCATGATCCAAGCTGGTGTGTGTGTTCAGATTTTGTAGTATATGGACAAAGGGGTTGATATAGGGATCAATATTCAAGGTCACAGTGCCTCCTTGCTGTCTCACAATTTACCCGCCACAACACACACACAAATACATATGGTTCAAAGCAGTTGTGATGAGCTGGGAGAGTACAGAGGAAGGATTCATGACCTGACCCGTTAATGTTAAGCTTGTAGAATCAGTGGTTTGCGTGTCTCAATGGAACAAGTTCCATTTCAAGCTCCTGTGACCAAGCCACGGCATGGCTATCATCAGCCCTGCTCTCCCACACTGAGATCATCCTCAGCATCATCCCAAACTCTGCCTGGAAAGCAACTCTCCACTTTCAACATCAACCTCAAATCCAAAGTCTATGGGCAACAGAGGTTTGCTTCCTACATCTTTCCCAGTACTAGGATTGCCATACTTGTCTCCATTGACCTCTGTTTTCCTTCCAGAGCCTTTAGCATACACTGCGCTATAAATGACACACACACACACACAACACGCACACACACCAGGTTGGATAATACTGAGAGCAAATATTTTTGTATTCTAGCTGACAGGAAAACCTCCACAAGTAGCTGACTGCCAAAGATCCCCCTCTCCTCCAAGTGAATGGCCTTTTGGGTTTGAACTGGTCTCCTCATCTCTCATCACCCCTAATGAGCCATCTTCTCCAGGTCTGCCTGGTCTGGACCATCCTTGAGCACTGCCAGGGCCCCACATCTGAACCCTCACTTGCTTCCTCACATTGATGATGCCTTGGAGACCGACCTGTGCAGAATTAAGCTGAAGGTCACTCATTCCCCTTGGCCTGATTGCAAGACCGGCTGGACTCTACCTGGTCAAGAGGGGTCTTAGCTCTGTCCCAGTTGTTTGCTTTTTGCTTTCCCCTGCCTCTCTCAACTTGACTCTGTTTCTAGAAAACTCTAAAGCTGACATTGCCACCTCTTGAAAACCATTCCTCACAATGATCTTGCTTCCAGAATTACACTTTTCTCCAGTATGAGATGATCTGCATTACATTCATAGTTGGGTCAATCACGCAACTTAAATATCTTCCTACATATGGGTCACCTTGGTGTCAGTTTCTGTCAATGGTCCCTTCTCATTTAAGTGGAGATTTCCCTTGTTCTTGGTATGACAGGTGATTTTCAGTCATATTCTGGACACTTTGGGTATCATATTATGAGACTGCTGATCCTATTTACTCTTCTTTTTTGCAGGCAGTCACCCTGTTGAAGTGTACTGTGTGGGTCCAGATGGGAGTGGATGTTCAGCTCTCACTGGGCTCCACTGATATCAGCCCAGCCAGAGTGGAGTGCCAGCTGACCCCGCCTTGCTTTGCCTCACTCTGCCTTGTAGCTAATGGGTGGGGGTGGAAGTCTTGCTTGGACTGTCGATACCAGGAGTGGGGAGGGGGAAAAGGGACTGTGTTGTTGTGTAATAAAGGATTTGACTTTGTCCCTGGCTCCTGAGAAGGAGACTCTAAGTCTTTGGAAATTCCCAAGTAAGAGGAGTGTCTTTGTTTTTCATGAGCCCCTTGGATCGCACCTTAGTTTATGTTGAGATGAGAGGGGTGGGATTTGGAGCCAGCCTGACCTTGGGGAGAGTAGGGGGGATGGAGATTGAGTTGAGTCATGTGACCAATGATTTACTCAACCATGCCTATGTCATGAAACCTCAATAAAAACTCTGGACACTGAAGCTCAGTGGAGTTACCTGCCTGGTAAACACATTGATTTGACCCACTCTGATTTCATGGGTTGAAGGCATGGGAACTCTGCACTTAGGACCCCCCAGGATTCACCTATGTGTCTCTCCACTTGGCTGGTCCTGATTTTTATCCTGCGTAATAAAACTGTAACCATAAGTAAGGTGCTTTACTGAGTTCTGTGAGTCCTTCTATTGAATTATGAAACATCAGAGGATCGTGGGACCTCTAGAATTTGTAGACACTTGGTCCTAAGTGTGATTGACCTGGGGACCCCTGAGGTGCAGCTGGCATCTGAAGTGACAGCGGTCTTGTTGAGATCCCTTTAACTTTCAGGATCTGCATGAACTCTGCTGGTTTGTGCGAGAGTTGTATTGCAGAGCACCAGTTGGCATGAGCACAGAGGGGAAGGGAAATGTTGATAAGAGTCCCTTGCACTGTCTCACTTGGCCTCCCTGCTGTTGTGTGATAGTGGAAGTTTAGTTCTCTGATGGGCCTGGCTGACATTATTCCTGCAAAAGCAGAAGGCCCACTTACGTCCCCAGCTTGTTGCCACCACATGTGGGTGGACATTCAGCTCTCTGCTTAGCCCCACTGACACCTGGAGGTGGTGGGTATGGACAGTTTTTCCTTTGGTGTTTTGGGCAGGTAAGCATTATCAAAAAGGTTCTTCTTGTGCCCTTTTTCTGGTCCTTTGATTATAGGGACAAGTTTCTTTACCTGTACCTATTGGCAGTTCCGGGTTGCAGGCTTCTCTATTGTCCAATCTGGGATATATGAGAGGATAAAAGAAAACCCAGGGAACTCACCTCTGTGTTGTTCCTCGAGTCCTGATGTCCCTAGAAGCCTCTCCTTCTTTCCATCTTTCAATTTTCCTATGTTTGTTGCATTACGTCCAGGGTTTTTAAGTTGTAAGAGGAAAGACTAGTAGGAAATTGGGCTGCTCCATCTTGACTGGAATGGGAAGTCTGATCGCATAATTTATCAGCCAAACTGAGAAACTCTGGGAGTGAAAAAGGGTTCTAACTGTTAGGATACCTGAACAACTGGCATGACATAGAACATATGGTCTAAAGTCTTTGTTCCTGGATAATATCAAGTACAAATCACTTTGTCACTTTCACTCAAGTCCTGTCCTCAATTTCAGGAGCCCCACTCTATCAGATGGTGCTCAGGGTCTTATTTCTTTTCTTGGCCACTAATGTGGAATTGCCACGGAGCACTTGCCCTTCTCCCTTCTGGTTATAGTACCCATGCAGGGCCAGGGATGATAACCATGGAAGTGGGGACAGAGGCTGCCCCAAGACTAAGCTTTTTTTGCTGCTTTTGGGACATGGTCGGTTGACCTCCTGGGAAGGCCAACAGTCCCTGGCAGCAGTTTGTGCACCAGCATCAAGATTGAGTAGCCCATGCTACTCTTAGTGGCACATGATTCTTCTGGGCACAGGCCTTTTGTCTTTCCAGGGCTTAGGGCATTCCTTTAAGGTTATGTGGTGCTTATTGTGGAGCTTGTTTATTTTTTCAAGTAGTCTCCAAGTCCACTGTTACAAGACCTGTCCCAGGGTGAGTCCCTGCTTCCTACCAGACCCTCCAAACCTGCTGGGTCCTGATCAATGTGCCTTTATTGGATGCTGATTATTTATACTTCCTCTGGAATCAATACCATAGAGAAGGACCCTATGCCTTTTCCAGATACTATCTTGTCTCAGTTATGCAGAGAAAGACTCTCTAGGGATATAATAGGGACTAGGCCAATCATACTCTAGAGCAAATTGGGATTACCCTTCTATTTCCTTAACTTATCCAATATATATTAACCACACTAGAAATTATTAGTACACTTGGGGGAAAGGGGCAAGATTTCACGTGGTTCTTAAGATTTACAGCCATCCCAGACAGAGCATATATTAAAATCAAAGTTTTAGAGCAATGAACTTAAATCTGGACTGATGTTAGTCTGTGAGTTCATTGGCTGAAAGAGCTTTTTGGGCTAGGAATCTAAATGGCATATTAATACTTCACTTTTGGATACATTTTTGTACCCTTGACTTCTAGAAAACAAGCAGTCAAAAAGGTTATTTGTGTTATTTCTAAGAGGCCAATTTATAGCTAATTTTGGTATCAGAGACATAGTATAATAACTGTTAGTGATTAGACTCACTGCGGATGGATTATGGAGCCAGAATGCCTGCCTTTTAATCTCAGCTCAGCCATTTAACCCCTTTGTGTCTATGATTCCTCTGTAAAAAATAACAGAACCTACTTCATTAAGTTGTGAACATTTATATATGTGCATACATAGTGCTTAGAATAAAGCCTGGTACAGCCAGGCATGGTGGCTCACGCCTGTAATCCCAGCACTTTGGGAGGCCGAGGTGGGCGGATCACGAGGTCAGTAAGTCGAGACCATCCTGGCTAAGATGGTGAAACCCTGTCTCTACTAACAATACAAAATATTAGCCTGGCGTGGTTGCGGGTGCCTGTAGTCCCAGCTACTTGGGAGGCTGAGGCAGGAGAATGGCAGGAACCCGGGAGGCAGAGCTTGCAGTGAGCCAAGATCATACCACTGCACTCCTGTCTGGGCGACAGAGCAAGACTCTGTCTGAAAAAAAAAAAAAAAAAGAAAAAAAAGAATAAGGCCTGGTACAAAGTATTTGACACAGGTTAGCTCTTACTCATTTGAATAAAAATTTCATAATATATACCAGTTTATTAGCATTTATAAAATCCACAAATTGCATAAGCAGAGTATTTTAACGTTGAAAAGAAGAAACCACTAGCATTTGAAAGCATGAAAAGTTGTGGTTAAAGCTGACTTAAGAGATGCTTGCAAAGAAAATCCCATTAGTCTGAGGATTGAGTTCAAGAGCAAAAAGACACTGCCTTTCGAGGGTTACGGTCCAGCACTCTGTATTGAGAGAGAGAATGTACATTGGCACAAACTCTTTGAAGGGCATTTGGTAACGTTTAGCAGTTTTTCTTGAAAAAGCTTACATCCTTTGGCCTAGCAATTTTACTTCTAGGACTGCGTTCAAATGAAATAATCAAAGGTGCAAGCTATATTTATTTACAAGGATGATCATTGAGGCATCACATGTAATAGCCAGAAATAAAAAAAAAGAATGTATCTTACAATAAGGGACGTTTTGGATGAAAAATGAAGTTCTGCACATTTATAATTAAGCAGACTGGGCATGATGGCTCATGCCTGAACCCCAGCACTTTGGGAGGCCAAGGTGGGTAGATCACTTGAGGCCAGGAGTTCAAGACCAGCTTGGGCAACATGGTGAAACTCCATCTCCACTAAAAATACAAAAATTAGCCAGATGTGGTGGCACGCGACTATAGTCCCAGCTACTCGGGAGGCTGAGGCATGAGAATCGCTGGAACCCAGGAGGTGGAGGTTGCAGTGAGCCAGGATAATGCCATTGCACTCCAGCCTGGGTGACAGAGCAAAACTCTGTCTCAAAAAAAAAAAAAAAAAAAAAAAGGTAATGTTGAAGCTTATTTAATGATGAGAAAATGTTAAGAATGTATTTGTAAGTGAAAAAGGTTTACAAAACTCCGTTTAATATGCTCTTCATAAAAATCTCCCCTTTGCCTGCCTGCCTCTCCCTACTTTCCTTCCAGCGTCAGTCCCACGATGGAAGTGTGCACGCCTCTGGCATGTGGTCACTGTACCCTGGCTCAAGTCACTCCATCATGGACTGCAGAGCCAATGGTTGCCCCATGGCCCCCACATCATGGATTTAAGTGACTGTTCATGCCCATCATGTGATAGCAAATGAATGCTCAGACTGTTTTAATAGGAAATAAAACAGTTTTGCTTTTTTGTTCATTCTTTGATGTACTAGAAGGATGGAATGCAAAGTATTTCTCTATACCTCATGGAGAATTTAAGAAATTAAATCCTCTGTGCCCTTGAGGATAAGGCAACTTATTTTTGGGTAGCTAATGATTGAGACTCTAGATTTGATAGGCTGTTAATATCTGCTGTGGCAAGAACAAGAGGGAGGAAAAGGTTTGCAGTAAGAAGCAGTTTATTTTGGAGCAACAGGAGCAGGTATTGCCTTGGAATAAAAGCAGGGAGAGATCTTTGAGTTTCTGACAGCTGGATGGTCTTGTGATGTGGCAAGACTCATATCCTGAGCCTCATTAACAAAACGACTGAATCCCAAGTGGGACACTAAAGAGCAGAGGGGCCGTAGGCAGAGGGAAAACATGTCTCAGAGATAATGTATGTGGAACAGAGGAGCTCTCCAACTATGAACTGACCCCCGGAATTGCAGGGATTTGTACTCAACTTTAGGGCTTGAGAATTTCAGAAGCGCTCTTACTGAATCACAGCTGGGGAACTCAGGGGCCAGGCGGCAGTTTCAAATACTCTTTGAGACTGTTCAACAAGCTCGGTTTATAAACTACCTCTATTTCTTACTCTGTTTTTGACTTCACAGAATTATTTCAAATAAGCTTCTCCAGCCTGGATATCCATTCAAATATAAATAGTTTGGGCCAGGCATGGTGGCTCATACCTGTCATCCCACTGCTTTGTGGGGCCAAGGCGGGTGGATCCCTTGAGGCCAGGAGTTTGAGACTAGCTTGAGCAATATAGTGAGACCCCCGTTGCTACAAAAAAAATTGAGGAAAGATTAGCCAGGCAGAGTGGCACATGCCTGTTGTCCTACCTACTCGGGAGGCTGAGGTGGGAGGATCCCTTGAGCTGGGGAGTTAGAGGCTGCAATGAGCTATGCTCATGCCACTGTTCTACAGCCTGGGCAACAGAATGTGACCCTGTCTGCAAAAAAAAACAAAACACCAAAAAAAAAAACTCAAAACAACAACAGAAACCAAATATAAGCAGTTTATATTTCAGATGGGTAAACACAATATCTTATAGGAGAATAATTTAACGAGAGAGGAAAACACAATAGAGAAAAACAAAATCCTGTTCACTTGTGAGAGAGAACAGGACACGGACAAGTTTGATCTTCCTCCGGACCTCCCTTCAGTGGATTAGTCAGCCCGCCAAGATTCTGTTTACTTCATTAGCTGTAAATATACAAGTTTCCTTTCAACAAAGACTAAGCCGTTTTTCATCTTAGCAACTGAGTAAGTAAAGTACTGTTAGGTCCTGGTGATGTGCTTTCTTACATTAAGGCAAACACTCACAATGAGATAGTGGAAATGAGAGGGCAGCAGAGAAAAAGCAGAAGCTTCCCAGGTCTTCCTGTCCCCAGAAGGCCCCAGCTGTAGCTAATCCTGCCTGTGGGGCAGGGGAAAGAGACTGTCAAGGTCCTCCAAGAAGCTCCTGTTCCACCCACACCTAGGTTTTATACCTTCCAGTCTTCTCCCACCATCCTGGAGTCTGGTTCCACACCTGCCTGCCCACCAGGGGGAAGGAAGCTTGGCCCAGGCCTGAGCATTAACTGCAACAGGGGGAATTGGTGGTCAGTTTCTCAGAAGGACTGTTTTGCCCAGTAGACCTAGGACTTAGGACTTTTTTTTTTTTTTTTTTTTGAGACGGAGTCTCTCTCTGTCGCCCAGGCTGGAGTGCAGTGGTGCGTTCTTGGCTCACCGAAACCTTTGCCTCCTGGGTTCAAGCGATTTTCCTGCCTCGGCCTCCCAAGTAGCTGGGATTATAGGTGCCCACCATCACGCCAGGCTAATTTTTGTATTTTTAGTGGAGAGGGGGTTTTGCCATGTTGGCCAGGTTGGTCTCAAACTCCTGACCTCAGGTGATCTGCCTACCTTGGCCTGCCAAAGTGCTGAGATGACAGGCTTGAGCCACCGCGCCCAGCCCAGGACTTCATTTTTGATCTTAAAGAAATTCCAGTGTTTCATCATCAAAAATTAGGTTATCATTGATTTCGTTTTAGGCACTCTTTAGCAGAAGAAGGAAGTTCTCTGTTCCAAGTTTGCTGAGAGCTTTTCCAAATCATGAAAGGATATTGATTATTGTCAGATGGTTTTTGTATCATATTAAGATAAATGTATAATTTTTTCCCTTTAAGTTATTAATGTGGAGAGCTGCATTGATTGATGTACTAATGGTAACTCAACCTTGAATTTTTAGAATAAGCCCAATTAGATTATGATATTATTATTTATACACACCTGTTTCCCTTTTGATAATATTTTGTTTGGATTATTTGCATCAATTTTCATGATGGACATTGACCTGTAATTTCTCTTTCTCATACAGTTCTTGTCAGGTTTTGGTATCAATAACTACTAGTACTAATAATAATGGCTATACATTGTTGAATACTTATTTTCCTAAGTCCTTTTGACAGCTCATTTCATCCTTTAAAAAATCTATGATGTATGTTTTTCCTAAATACATATTTTACACATCGTAAATCAATCAGCACAAGCAAGCTAATTAGCCATTCAAACTATCATCACAATTTTCTTCATTTTTTTATTTTAAATTTTATTATTATTTTTAGAGACAGGATCTTGCTCTATTGTCCAGGGTAGAGTGCAATGGCATGATCACATCTCACTGCAGCCTTGAATTTCCAGAGTTAGGTGACCCTCCCACCTCAGGGAGGATCTCTCCTCACCTATACTCCCAAGTGGCTGGGATTATAGGCACGAGCAACCATGCCTGGGTAATTTTTTAATTTTTTTTGTAGACATGGGGTCTTGCTATGTTGCCCAGGCTGGTCTCGAACTTCTGGGCTCAAGTGATCCTCCTGACTTGGCCTCCCAAAGTGCTAGGATTACAGGTATCAGTGTGCCCAACCTCTTTCTTTTTATTTTGTTTTCCAAGTGAAAGCACTTAAGATCTGCCCTCTTAGCAAATCTCAATTGTATAATACAGTATTATCAACTGTAATCACCAATTGGCACATTGGACCTCCAGAACTCATTCACACTGCATACTGAACCTTTGTACTCTTTGACAAATATCTTCCCATTTCTCCCAATTCCTAGCCTTGCGAAACCACCATTCTACTCTCTGCTTCTCTGATTTTGACTATTTTAGATTCCATACATAAGTGAGATCATGCAGTATTTGTCTTTCTGTGTCTGGCTTATTTCACTTGACATAAATGTCCTCCAGGTTCATCCGTGTCATTGCAAATGGCAGGATCTTCTTTTTAAAGGCTGAATAATATTCCTCTGTGTGTGTGTGTGTGTGTGTGTGTGTGTGCATGCATGCATGCATGTGCATATGTGTGTATGTGTGTAACATTTTCTTTATCCATTCATCAGTTGACAGACATTTAGATTGTTTCCGTATCTTGGCTATTTGAATAATGTTGCAGTGAACACAGGAGGGCAGCTATCTTTTTGAGATGTAGACTTATTTCCTTTGTGTATATATTATTCAGAGGGATTGCTGGATCATGTCATAGTCCTATTTTTAATTTTTTGAGGGATCTCCATGCTGTTTTCCATTATGGCCATAGCAATTTACAGTCCCTTCAATGGTGCACAAGGGTTTCTTTTTCTCCATGTCCTTGCCACACATTTGCTGTTAACTGATTTTTGACAAGGGTGCCAAGACCTCCACATAGGGAAAGGATGGTCTCTTCAATAAATGGTGTTGGGAAAGCTGGATATCCCTATGCAGAAGAATGAAACCTGGACCTTTATCTCACACAATATACAAAAATCAGCTCAAAATGGATTAAACACTTAAATCTAAGACTCCAAACTGTAAAACTAAAAGAAAAAACATAGGGAAAAGTTTTCCTGACATTGGTTTTAGCGATAGTTTTTTGGTCATGACTCCAAAAGCACAGGCAACAAAAGCAAAAATAGACAAGTGAGGTTGCATCAAACTAGAAAGCTCTGCACAGCAGAGGAAAAAAATCAACATATTGAAAAGGAAACCTACAGAGTGGGAGAAAATATTTGCAGAACATGTATCTGATAAAGGGTTAATATACAATATATGGAAGACACTCATACCACTCAACAGCAAAAAACTCCAAATAATCAGACTCCTCATTCTTAACCATACAATATGCTGTTATCCTCACTCTTGCTCTATTCTTCCTCTGCTTTTTACCTACCTGTGTTATACTGACCTCAAACAATGGGTTGGGCGGCATTTCCTCATTTTCTGTACTCTGGTATAGTTTGTACAAAAATATAACTGTGCCTTGAGTGAGCTATTGATTCAATTTCTTTAATGGTCATTGGATTTTTAAGGTTTTCCATTTCTTCTTAACTCAGCTTTGGTAAGTTATATTTTCTCTAGGAATTTGACCAGTCTTCTATGTTATACGTTTTATTTGTACAAAGTTGTTCCTAATATTATCTTGTGTTTTTTAAATATTGGCCACACTGGAAGCTATGTCCCTAACTGTGTTTGTAATTTTTCTTTTTCTCTTTATCAATCATATTTACGAGTTTGCCATTTTATTAGTCTCTGTCCCTTTCTATTGTATGCTTCTTTTAGTTTTGTCACTTTTTCTTCATATCTTACTGATAGGGACAGGAAGTAGGGAAATTCTAGGCAGAAGGGGGCGGGTCCCCAGTGAGGGCCCCACCCACAAGCCAAAAAGCCTGATACCATGGCCCAAAGTGAGAACTTACATCCCTGTTTTCCTGCTCAAATGTTGCCTTTTCCAAAACCACCCATGGCCTGCCCTGCTCTTCTTCCTGTGCCTATTAAAACTCCAGGCTCAGCAAGCAGAGAGAGGAGAAGCAGTTGGACATTGGAGACTATGGTTGGACGTTAGAGAGAAGCGGCTTGACTTCAGAGGGACAACTTGATAGTGTAGCTTCAGAGAGGAGTCTGGCCGGGGACAGCTGGACTTCAGGGGAAGATTACCTTACCACTCTGTCCCCTTTCCAGCTCCCTTTCCTGCTGTGAGCCACTTTCGTCGGCAGTAAAATCTCCCACATTTACTACCTTCAACTTGTTCATGTGACCTCATTTCTCTTGGTTGCTGGACGCAAACTGAGGTGCCATGAGTGCAGGTGCAAAAGACTGTCACACCGACCTTTCACCCCCACTGGTGGAAGGCAGCTGCATCACGCGAAAAGGCAGATGGTCCACTGAGCTGTTAACACTTCAGCCATCCACAGACGACTGAGTTAAAAGAGCACTGTAGGCCGGGCATGGTGGCTGCCTGTAATCCCAGCACTTTGGGAGGCTGAGGCGCATGGATCACGAGGTCAGGAGTTCGAGACCAGCCTGACCAACATGGTGAAACCTCGTCTCTACTAAAAATACAAAGATTAGCTGGGCGTGGTGACGCACACCTGTAATCCCAGCTACTCAGGAGGCTGAGGCAGGAGAATTGCTTGAACCCCGGAGGCAGAGGTTGCAGTGAGCCAAGATTGCGCCATTGCACTCCAGGGTGACAGAGTGAGACTCTGTCTCACAAAAAACAAACAAACAAACAATAAAAAAAAAAAAAAGATCACTGTAACACTTTTTTTTCTGGGGCTTCAGGGGTCATGGGCACCCCCACACAGACACTGCTGTGTGGCCAGTACGGAGTTCCCTCCTGTTGGTGCTCAAAAGCACTTGCCCCAGCTCTGGCACCCACTCACCTGCATGATCCCCCCCAGCAAGGGGTGGAACGCAGCAGGTTCGAATGGGTGGAGTCTGCCCCTGCTGGAACTGAGCAGCTGACTGAGTCCAGCGCTGCTCTCATACTCCAGTTCCTGCCCATGAAGGGGTCAGAAATATTCTGCTTCATTACAGTTTCCCTTTTCCACTGAATTAAAGTTTATTTTGCAGTTCTTTTTCTAACTTCTGGAGATGTATGCTTACATAATGCATTTTCGCGTTTCTTCTTTACTAATCTGTTTAAGGCCATGAATTTCCATTTAAGTTCTACTTTATCCGCATCCAGAATGTTTTGATACATAGTCTTTTCATCATTATTCTGTTAAAATATTTTCAATTCCCAATTTGAATTTTCCAATTTATACATTATTTAGAAATGTTTCTTAATTTCAGAAAAATTTTAAATAGTGATTTAACTAAAATTACCACTGTCTTTTAACATATGGTGATTTTAGTTATTTTTGTTATTGGCTTATATGAATAATATTATAAAATGTGTTCCGTATGATACCAATTATTTTAAATGTGTTGAAACTTGCTTTATGGCCCAAGTTACGGTCAGTTTTTAATGTACATTCTGAGTAGTTATTGGGTGCAATGTTCTATCTGCCCGTTAGGTCAAATGTTCTAATTATTTTGTTTTCAAATTGTCTCTGTCTTTAATGATCTTTTTGAATGCCTGGGCTCTCAACTTTTGAGAGTATTACATGAAAATCTGTTACCATTATGGTAGATTTATCTATTTTTACATGTTTTTCTATTTTGAGGCTTTGTGATTAGGTGTATAATAGTTTACAATTATTTAAACTTGCTGGCAAATTAAACCTTTCATCATCATGTAGTGATTCTCTCTACCTTTAGCAATGTTTTTTGCTTTAAAGAAGTCCATTTTTTTTCCTAAAGTACTATAACTACAAAGTTTTCTTTTGACTAGTATTAACCTGCACATATATGTTTATCCTTTTCCTTTTAATGTTTCTGTTTTCATATATTTTTTATGTGTATCTTCAAAAATGTCTATTAATCTTTGTCTTTTAATTGGATCATTAAATCTGTATACATTTATGGAAATTATTGATATGTCTGGGTTTCCAGCCCCCACAGTATTGATTACGTTGTGATTTCTACTTGTGTTACCATTTCCACATTCCTTTCTCTCCTCTTTCTTCTTTTGGGCTGATTGGCTGGTTTTACTCATCTTTTTCTGTAGTAGTTTAAAGTTATGCACTTCACTTCTAGTCTTTCCATGACCACCATGGAATTTAACATGCATAGTTAATTCATCAAAGAAGAATGTTCATCAACATCTAAACCCTCTCAGCAATATGTGAAGTTCTTAACATGCTTGTGCCCATTACTCCCATCTAAGATTGTGCTCTTGTTTATTTTAATTGTTTTGTTTCTTATGACTCCCAAAGAACATTATTATTATTCATATTATCTCATCCTTCTTTTCATTTTATATGTCAATGTTTTTCTGGATTTATCCACATACTTCTCCTTTTCTTTGCTTTCATTTCTTTTTGTATCTCATTCTTTCCATCTGGGATAATATCCCTTTTTCCTGAAGTACATCCTTAAGAATTTCCTTTAGTGAGGCTCTGCTGCTATAAACTCTCTCAGTCTTTGCGTTTCTTAAAAGGCTTGTATTTTTCCCTGGTCTTGAAAGATGTTTTTGATGAATACCATCTTCTTTCCTTATGCCATTATTTATCTTTCTGTTAGATTAAATTTGTTTATAACAGATGAGCATTTAGAATCTACCTTAGTGTGGCAGCCTCATATGGAGACAAGCTGGACCCTTCCATAGCTGGTGGGCTTAAAGAAAACTGCAACAATTCCTCCCTGTCCATTGCAAAAAATGGCTCTGTTAGCACCAGTAGCTCGCCTTTGAATTCTTTCTGGGCAACACCAAGAACCTTCCTGGGCTAAGCCTCAATTTTGGGGGCTTGCCTGTCCTGCATCAGGATGGTAATGTAGATCTAATTCTAATTTACTTTCTTTTCCCATGGAAACATCTTTCTCTGTTGCTGTGTTCCTTCTGTCCTTGCAGGGTCTTCCTTTCCCTCAAAAACATTAAAAGTCTACACTTCCTGTCTACGCTTCCTCCATCTCATTTGGTCCTCGGGCTCTTGAAAACTGTGTTCTACACCCCCACACTCTCGGCCCCTGACTAGAAGCTGGCAGATGGTGTCGGTAGCCTTGGCAGGAATGTTTTTCATTCCTCGCCTTATAGAACTTTTAGTGACAGCTGTCACTATTGGTTATTGCCTCTTGAAAACTCTCTCCTCCCTTAATTTTTATGAAAATGTCACTCTGCTTTCCTATTTCTCTTCCTTTTAGATACATCTCTAGCTTCTTGGTGTAGTCGCACTTGTTAAGTGCTAGTGGTCTTCATGAATCCATCCTCGGTTGTTTTCTTATTCTCCAGTCTCTCTGGGCAACCACGTCTCTATCATTGATTCTATCTCAAGTTCAGACTTCTCTCACGAGCTCCAAACCCACACAGCTGAGTGTATCACTGGCACATCAAACTCAACATGCCCAAAGCAAAACTCATCCCTGCATTGCAGGAGGGTTTAATGGGCCAGCCTGAAAATGGCAGGCATAGTTCTGCCCACATTCTTTTGGCTAGAACTCAGGCATACAGGTGCACCCAACAGCAAGGGAGGCTGGCTATGTCCCCAGGAGGACATATTACATGGCAAGAGGGATATTACATGGCAAAAGTCCTCAAAAGAAGTGACTTCTGCTGGGTCTATTGATGAACAATCAGAATGGCAAAATCAGAGAGCCCTGGAAATAGTCTTTCAGGGAAGTCTCGGATGAAGCCGCTCTGGAGATTATACAGCGAGAAGTCATAAAACAAGGGCAGAAATTAAAAGCAGCACAGCAAACATGATTTGTGCATTCATGAAGCCATCCAGAATGAGCTCAGTGAAAGAGCATGAGGTCAGGAGGAACATCTCCAAAGTGTCCAGATGGGGCTTTTCTCAGCACAGGGACTTGCAGTGCTCTTTCAGGAGGACACCCAGGACAGGCTTAGGTAAGACTTGGCATGCTTTCACTCATCACAATCCTTTTTTTTTTCCATTTCATTTGCAAGCTTGAAAACGTTTTATGCTTTTAGATTTCTGGTCATTTTCAAAGATAGCTGAAGTATTTCAGTTCTGTTTTTAATCTTGATCCCTCTCCTTAACTTTCTCCATCTATTCTCCCATCTCTTCCTGTCCAGTATCTTCTAGAAAGTGTTGCCTCAGAAGATGGAGAAGGCTTAGTGCACACATGGCCTGGATGCCTGTCCTCCTGCTCCCTTCAATTCACCCATCAGTTATTTGGTGACTCTGTGGCGCCAAGCATTAATCCCATCAGACCAACTATAGGTGCAATAGTTAGAAGGAAAATTCTTATAACATCTGTGAATTTTTTTTACCTGCCAAACAGATGGGAAATGAGTCATTCTTCACCAACCATTCTACTTTTAAGGATGTTTAATGAGAGATTTTTTGAACTACTTATCAGGTAGATTTCTACAAATACAAAATAATAATGTAAAAACAATCCACATTTATTTGTTTTTTTCTTTGTTTTTACTTGACAAGTGGCAATATCATGCTTGTCATTTTAATTTAGACACAATTATTAGGTTATATATCATATTAACAATATTTAAGTTATTTTGTTTTATGTCCTTTAAGATACATTAAAACACACACACACACACACGCGCGTGCATGCACACACACACACAACTGAATGGGAGAAAAAGCATGGAACCCAACCAAATTTCCACACTTCAGCAATAGGTCATTCATTCTTTTAATAAAGCTTTAAGAAATGTCATAACGACATGAGCTTGAAACATCTCTAGGCATTTTCTTTGAGGCTCATGATGTGGCACTGGTGACGTAAACAGCAGAAAACAGGGGCTGCCAAATGACCAAATTATGGAGGCTCAGGGCTGCTTTTTCCCACAGGAACACATCAAATGGTGATGGCAGTGATCTCACACACTGAAGAGGAGTGACATGCCATGATGTAGCTGTATTCATCCACCGACACTTGACTGCATTCGATGTACTGTTTGTCTATCAGAACTTCAATACACTTCTTCCTCACTCTGACACTGGGATTAAACTAGCTCTCGACTGGCTAATCACCTCCTGAATAAGGGCAATTGTGCTGAAGCACTTCTCGTGCTTTCATGATACGAACTGTAAGCAGCTTGGAGATGCACTTTCCGGTTGCATCCCTGGTACAGTAGAGACCTGTTCACTTGCGGGCTTTCTGCAATCCTACCACTTCTCAAGGTGGAAGGAAACGGAGGTGATAATAACACTCATAGGAAGAGACTACAGACCATGGGTCTCCCGTGCCTCTGAGGAGGCTGCAAGTTGTTACTTCTCCAGAACACAAATGTTTGCAGCAGAAACAACAGCGTGATGACAGTATGCATTCCATGCCCCATGAGGAAATGGACATGATGTATTTCATGTGTCTCTTGAAGGCCTTGGGGGTTACGAGGAAGGAGATTGGGGAGATTGCTTTCAAACAACGAGGCCCTTTGCTCCCAGTGACATATCTTTGAGTATATTCTCATGGAATTTGGTAACAGTGCTGAAAGCTGAAGATTAAAAATTTATTGAGAAAAAAATAAACCAGTGACTTCAACTGCTGAGAATATCTGCAGTCATTCCTGCCTGCAGACCTCCCAATTTTATAAAAATCAGTTTCTTGACAGTTTTGGCCTATTTTCTACATAATAGGCATCTTAGAAATGTTCACCTAGGTTAACCCTCCTCCTTTCATTTCTTTTAAACAAGGCACATATTAGAAAGCAAGCATTTCTTTTCTTTCTTTTAAGTGTTGGTATTAGAGAAAATGGGCTGCTCCAGAAAGTGAAGTATGAGTTCAAACTGATGTGGTTAGGGCAATGCTGACGTCATAAATTTGAAATGTGGACTTTCTGTTGCAAAACTTTAATTTATAATCACATATAAATCACATAATTTATATGTCTCCTCAAATTATCCATATTCTCACTTAAATTCTTTTTGGTTGTGTTGTTTCTACCTAAAATGCAAGATGGCTAAACTTTGGACTCTGTGTCTTAAGCTCCATTTGGCTTTAACGAAACTCTTAATTTCTACAAAAAAAATGAAATTAGGATTTAAATGTTTATTTCTTGGCTTGGTCATAAAAATTGGTGTGCTACTTTCTTAAGGAACTTTAGAATGAAGTAGACCAAAAAAGCAACAACAAAAAAGACCAACTTCTTTATCTTTTCCAAATTAGACAAAGTTCTTCCCTCACTGTCCTAATTCCAAGGATCCAGAGTCAGATAAATTGTATTGTATTTTTAGATAACTATCAAATATTAATAATCTCTAATGTTGTTGTAGGAAGTGTGCTACTTACTTAGCTTTGAAATAAAATAAGCCTGGATTTAAGTGCCAATTCTAGTATATGCTATGATCCTGGTGAAGTTTCTTATCTACTCAAAGCCTCAGTTTTCTCGTCTTTAAAATGGGAATATCGATACAAATCGCTCCGATCGACTGGGAGAATTAAATGAGAAAATGTGGCTGGGTATGGTGGCACCTGTAATTCCAGCACTGTGGGAAGCTGAGGCAAGAGGATCCCTTGAGGCCAGGAGTTCAAGGCCAGCCTGGGCAACGTAGCAAGACTCCCAGCTCTACAAAAAATTTAACAAAATTAGCTGGGAATGGTGGCATGCACCTGTAGTCCCAGCTACTTAGGAGGCTGAGGTGGGAAGATCACTTGAGCTCAGGAATTTGAGGTTACGGTGAGCTGTGATTGTGCCACTGTACTTCAGCCTGGGTGACAGACCGAGACCTTATCTCTAAAAAAAAATGTGAAAATGTACATAAAATGTGCCATGTGCAGACAGTAAATGTCCAATACAAGTAAGATCTTCCCATTTCTTTGACACAGTCTGCATCATACAACCACATCTTATATAGACATTCCAGGGATGCTCAGAGGAAGGAGATGGGGGAAAAGTAGGTAGCTCTTGGATTGAACAGTTGGAGACTTGTAGAGGAAAGCAAATAGAACCACCAAAGTGATGGGAGGTCAAGGAAGATGCAGAGAATTGTTTGAGGGAAGTAAGGACTCAGGTAGACACTGCCTAGGAGTAAAGTTTGTCTAATTGGTTAGAACATTCTTATTTCAGTAGGACTTGGGAAGGAGGTCAGGGGCTGGGGTATGCTTTCAAGCACCCTGACAACTACACAATATCCTCAAAATATTTTGTATGTATCAGTTGTTGGTCTGAATGGCTTGACAAATGCAAAACAACTGTTCAGAGTGAAGTTTTTGATTTTTTTTTTAAAGAAGAAACTAGGAGCTTTGTTGCTGTGCATAAATGGGTCCTAAAGTGTTTTGGACAAAAATATTTGGCCAGTGATTCCAGGTAGCTCAGTCCTGTTTTCTAAAGGGCATGAGCCTGGATGCTCTGAGAATGTACCAGGTATAGGAGGGCCTAAGGAATGTTGGGGATTCATTGTCAGTTTTTTTCTCTCACTCAATCTCAGCAAAAGATTTCTGCGTGGTCCTTGTGATCATTTGATAATTCAGGTATGAACTATTCATTTATTTATTCCCTTTCAGGCAACCTGTGGTGATGAGGGTTGCTGGAAAGGGCAGGGGGCAAGTCCCTGGTGAAGAGTCTGGAGAAAGGAGCTGCTCCTGTGCAGGACCTGCAGGTTGGAGTGATTTTGTCCAGTGTCTTTCCTTCATTGTCCCACTTGGAAAATGGGCAAGGATGCAGGGCAGCCTGGGGCTACCTACAGGAATTTCTAGAGGCTGCCTATTTCACCCAGTATCAGAAGAAATGTGGCCTCTTATAAAAAGGGAGGGGAGTTTTGACATGGGAATTTGCTTAACATTGCATTGAGTCAGTTTATGGTATACGCCATAAAAGCATGCTAGAAATTATTTCACCCTGGGGCTAGACTCTATGGACTTGACTTCTCTTTTACTACCTAAACTGATAGAAAATCACCTTCACTAAAAGGAAAACAAGAAGGAAAGAAGAAAGGAAGAGAAGACCACAAAACAACCAGAAAACAATTAACAAAATGGTAGGATTAAGTTCTTACTTAATCAATAACAACACTGATAGTAAGTGGACTAAATTTTCCAATCAAAAGATCTACATGGCTGAATGGATAAAAAACAAGACCTAATGATCTGTTGTATACAAGAAACACACTTCACATATGAAGACACAAATAGACTGAAAATGAAGGTATGGAAAAATATTCCATGCAAACAAAAACCAAAAAAGAACAAGAGCAATTATACTTATATTAGAAAAAATCAATTTCAAGACAAGAACTGTGAAAAGAGACAAGGTCATTGTGTAATGATAAAAGGGTCAATTCAGCAAGAGAATATAACAACTGTAAATATATATTCACTCAACCCTGGAGCATCCAGATATATAAAGCAAATATTATTAAAGCTAAAGAGAGAGATAGACCCCAACATAATAATAGCTAAAGACTTCAGCACCCCACTTTCAGCATTGGACAGATCATCCAGACAGAAAATCAACAAAAAAAATTGGATTTAACCTGCACCATAGACCAAATGGACCTAATAGATATTTATAGAACATTTCAATTCATGGCTACAGAATAAACATTCTTTTCCTCAGCACTTGGCTCATTCTCAAGGATAGGCAATATATTAGGCCACAAATCAAGTGTTTAAAAATTCAAAATATATTGAAAAAATATTGCATATCTTCTCTGACCACAATGGAATAAAACTAGAAATAAATAACAAGAGGAACTTTGGAAACTATACAAACACCTGGAATATGCTCCTCAATGACCAGTGAGTCAATGAAGAAATTAGCAAAGAAATTAAAAAATTTAATGAAACAAATGAAAATGGAAACACAACATACCAAAACCTATGGGATACAGTGAAAGCAATATTAAGAGGAAGGTTTATAGCAATAAGTGCATATATAAAAACACAGAAAAACTTCAAATAAATAACCTAATGATTCATTTTAAAGAACTAGAAAAGCAAGAGCAAACCAAACCCAAAATTGGCAGAAGAAAATAATAAAGATCAGAGCAGAAATAAATGAAATTGAAACAAAAACTATACAAAAGATCAGCGCAACAGAAATTGGTTTTTTGAAAAGAGAAACAAAATCAAAAAACAAATTTTAGCCAGATTAACTAAGAAAAAAAGAGAAGACTCAAATAAAATCAGAGATGAAAAAGGAGACGTTGCAACTGATTACTGCAAAAATTCAAAGGATTATTAGAGACTACTATGAGCACCTATATGCCAAAAAAATTGGAAAACCTAGAAGAAATGGATAAGTTCCTAGACACATACAACCTACCAAGATTGAACCATGAAGAAATCCAAAACATGAATAGACCAGTAACAAGTAATGAGATTGAAGCTGTAATAAAAAGTCTCACAGCAAAGAAAACCTTGGAATCTGATGGCTTCACTGCTGAATTCTACCAAACATTTAAAGAAGAACTAATACCAATCCTACTCAAACTATTCTGAAAAATAGAGGAGAAGGGACTACTTCCAAATTCATTCTATGAGGCCAGTATACCAAAACCAGATACCAAAACCAGACAAAGACACAAAAGAAAGAAGGAAAGAAAAAAAGAAAGAAGGAAAGAAAGAAAGAAAGAAAGAAAGAAAGGAAAGAAAGAGAGAAAGAGAGAGAGAGAGAGAAAGAAAGAAAGAAAGAAAGAAAGAAAGAAAGAAAGAAAGAAAGAAAGAAAGAAAACCTACAGACCAATATCCTTGATTAATATTGATGCACCCTGAAGATTCCACCGAAAAACTATTAGAGCAGATAAACAAATTCGGTAAAGTTGCAGGATACAAAATCAACACAAGAAAATCAGTAACATTTCTATATGCCAACAGCAAACAATCTAAAAAGGAAGTCAAGAAAATATATTTACAATAGTTAGCAATAAAATAAAATACCTAGGAATAAACTTAACCAAGGAAGTGGAAGATCTCTACAATGAAAATTATAAACATTTGTGCAAGAAATTGAAGAGAACATACACAGAAATGGAGATATTTTGTGTTCATGGATTGGAAGAATTAATATTGTTAAAATGTCCATACTATCCCAAACAATTTACAGATTCAGTGCAATCCATATAAAAATACAAATACCAATGACATTCTTCACAGAAATAGAAAAAATAATCCAAAAATTTATATGGAACCACAAAAGACTTAGAATATTCAAAACTTTCCTGGGCAAAAAGAACAAAACTGGAGGAATCACATTACTATAGCTCTATACTACAGAGCTACGTAACTAAACAGCATGGTACATAGACCATGTTTACATACATAAACAGATACATAGACCAATGGAATAGAATATAAAACCCAGAAATAAATCCATACACCTACAGTGAGCTCATTTTCAACAAAGGTGCCAAGAACATACATTGGGGGGAAAGAGAGTCTCTTCAGTACATGGTGCTGGGAAAACTGGATATCTATACGCTGAACAAAGAATGAGACTAGACCCTTATCTCTCACCATATTCAAAAGTCAAATCAAAATGGATTAAAGACTTGAATCTAAGACCTCAAACTATGAAACTACTAAAAGAAAACATTGGGGAAATTCTCCAGGACATTGGTTGGGGCAAAGATTTTCTGGGTAATACCCTACAAACATAGACAACCAAAGTAAAAAATGGACAAATGGGATCACATCAAGTTTAAAAGCTTCTGCACAGCAAAGGAAACAATCAACAGAGTTGAGAGACAACCCACAGAATGGGAGAAAATATTTGCAAACTATCCATCTGACAAGGGATTCATAACCAGAATATATAAAGAGTTCAAACAACTCAATAGGAAAAAATCTAGTAATCCAATTTACAAATGGGCAACAAATTTGAATAGACATTTCTCAAAAGAAGACATACAAATGGCAAACAGGTTATATGAAAAGGCTCTCAATATCACTGATCATCAGAGAAATGCATATCGAAACTACAATCAGATATTATCTCATCCCAATAAAAATGCCTTTTATCCAAAAAACAGGCACTAATGAATGCTGGTGAGGATGTGGAGAAAAGGGAACTCTTATACACTGTTGGTGGGAATTAAATTAGTATAGCCGTTATAGAGAAGAATATGGAGGTTCCTCAAAAAAACTAAAGCTAGAACTACCCATCTGATCCAGCAATCCTACTACTGGGTATTTATCCAAAGGAAATAAGATCAGTATATTGAAGAGATATCTGCACTCCCATGTTTGTTGCAGCACTATTTACAATAACCAATATTCGGAAGCAGCCTCAACCTGAGTGTCCATAAACAGATGAATGGATTTAAAAAATGTGGTACAAGGAGGAACTGGTACCATTCCTTCTGAAACTATTCCAATCAATAGAAAAAGAGGGAATCCTCCCTAACTCATTTTATGAGGCCAGCATCATTCTGATACCAAAGCCGGGCAGAGACACAACCAAAAAAGAGAATTTTAGACCAATATCCTTGATGAAAATTGATGCAAAAATCCTCAATAAAATACTGGCAAACCGAATCCAGCAGCACATCAAAAAGCTTATCCACCATGATCAAGTGGGCTTCATCCCTGGGATGCAAGGCTGGTTCAATATATGCAAATCAATAAATGTAATCCAGCATATAAACAGAGCCAAAGACAAAAACCACATGATTATCTCAATAGATGCAGAAAAAGCCTTTGACAAAATTCAACAACCCTTCATGCTAAAAACTCTCAATAAATTAGGTATTGATGGGACGTATTTCAAAATAATAAGAGCTATCTATGACAAACCCACAGCCAATATCATACTGAATGGGCAAAAACTGGAAGCATTCCCTTTGAAAACTGGCACAAGACAGGGATGCCCTCTCTCACCGCTCCTATTCAACATAGTGTTGGAAGTTCTGGCCAGGGCAATCAGGCAGGAGAAGGAAATAAAGGGTATTCAATTAGGAAAAGAGGAAGTCAAATTGTCCCTGTTTGCAGACGACATGATTGTTTATCTAGAAAACCCCATCGTCTCAGCCCAAAATCTCCTTAAGCTGATAAGCAACTTCAGCAAAGTCTCAGGATACAAAATCAATGTACAAAAATCACAAGCATTCTTATACACCAACAACAGACAAACAGAGAGCCAAATCATGGGTGAACTCCCATTCACAATTGCTTCAAAGAGAATAAAATACCTAGGAATCCAACTTACAAGGGATGTGAAGGACCTCTTCAAGGAGAACTACAAACCACTGCTCAACGAAATAAAAGAGGACACAAACAAATTGAAGAACATTCCATGCTCATGGGTAGGAAGAATCAATATCGTGAAAATGGCCATACTGCCCAAGGTAATTTACAGATTCAATGCCATCCCCATCAAGCTACCAATGACTTTCTTCACAGAATTGGAAAAAACTACTTTAAAGTTCATATGGAACCAAAAAAGAGCCCGCATCACCAAGTCAATCCTAAGCCAAAAGAACAAAGCTGGAGGCATCACACTACCTGACTTCAAACTATACTACAAGGCTACAGTAACCAAAACAGCATGGTACTGGTACCAAAACAGAGATATAGATCAATGGAACAGAACAGAGCCCTCAGAAATAATGCCGCATATCTACAACTATCTGATCTTTGACAAACCTGAGAAAAACAAGCAATGGGGAAAGGATTCCCTATTTAATAAATGGTGCTGGGAAAACTGGCTAGCCATATGTAGAAAGCTGAAACTGGATCCCTTCCTTACACCTTATACAAAAATCAATTCAAGATGGATTAAAGATTTAAACGTTAGACCTAAAACCATAAAAACCCTAGAAGAAAACCTAGGCATTACCATTCAGGACATAGGCGTGGGCAAGGACTTCATGTCCAAAACACCAAAAGCAATGGCAACAAAAGCCAAAATTGACAAATGGGATCTAATTAAACTAAAGAGCTTCTGCACAGCAAAAGAAACTGCCATCAGAGTGAACAGGCAACCTACAACATGGGAGAAAATTTTCGCAACCTACTCATCTGACAAAGGGCTAATATCCAGAATCTACAATGAACTCAAACAAATTTACAAGAAAAGAACAAACAACCCCATCAAAAAGTGGGCGAAGGACATGAACAGACACTTCTCAAAAGAAGACATTTATGCAGCCAAAAAACACATGAAGAAATGCTCATCATCACTGGCCATCAGAGAAATGCAAATCAAAACCACTATGAGATATCATCTCACACCAGTTAGAATGGCAGTCATTAAAAAGTCAGGAAACAACAGGTGCTGGAGAGGATGTGGAGAAATAGGAACACTTTTACACTGTTGGTGGGACTCTAAACTAGTTCAACCATTGTGGAAGTCAGTGTGGCGATTCCTCAGGGATCTAGAACTAGAAATACCATTTGACCCAGCCATCCCATTACTGGGTATATACCCAAAGGACTATAAATCATGCTGCTATAAAGACACATGCACACGTATGTTTATTGCGGCACTATTCACAATAGCAAAGACTTGGAACCAACCCAAATGTCCAACAATGATAGACTGGATTAAGAAAATGTGGCACATATACACTATGGAATACTATGCAGCCATAAAAAATGATGAGTTCATGTCCTTTGTAGGGACATGGATGAAATTGGAAACCATCATTCTCAGTAAACTATCGCAAGAACAAAAAACCAAACACCGCATATTCTCACTCATAGGTGGGAATTGAACAATGAGATCACATGGACACAGGAAGGGGAATATCACACTCTGGGGACTGTGGTGGGGTCAGGGGAGGGGGGAGGGATAGCATTGGGAGATATACCTAATGCTAGATGACACGTTAGTGGGTGCAGCGCACCAGCATGGCACATGTATACATATGTAACTAACCTGCACAATGTGCACATGTACCCTAAAACTTAGAGTATAATTAAAAAAAAAAAAAGAAAAAAAAAAGAAAAAATAAAAAAATAAAAAATGTGGTACATATACACAATGGAGTACTATTCAACCATAAAAAAGAATAGTCATTTGCAACAACATGGATGGAATTGGAGGATATTATGTTAAGCGAAATAGGCCAGGCACAGAAAGACAAACTTCTCTTCTAATTCATTTGTGGGAACTGAAAATTAAAATAATCAAACTCATGGAGATAGTAGAATGATGGTTACCAGAGGCTGGGAATGGTAGTGGGGATGGTCAATAGGTACAAAAATATAATTACAATAAATACTAGAACTAGTATTTGATAGCGCAACAGGGTAATTACAGTCAACAATATTTTACATTTAAAAATAACTAGAAGAGCATAATTGGAATGTTTCTGACACAAAGAAATGATAAATGCTGGAGGTGATGGACACCCCATTTATCCTGATGTGATAATTACACATTGCATGCCTGTATCAAAATACCTCATGTACCCCACATACACTGTGTACCCACACAAATTTTAAGAAAGAGAAAAAGACTATACCTGTAGGGCTATTAATGTCAGGGTGAGTTGCTTGGATTAGGCTTATCTTACTTCCCAGACAAGCCTAATCCAAGCAACTCACCCTGACATTAATAAGGAATGTAAGGAACTCCTTCCCCCTCATAGGAGTTGAAGTAGGTTCAATGAGATTTTTTGATATCTCATGTAAAAGAAGTCCAGGGCCTTTTGGACTTTGGTGGCAGCGAGGTGTCCATAATCCTGGTGCCTTCCATACTGTTGCTTTACCATGAGTGGCTTTCATTTTCAAGGTGAATTTGTGGTCCCATCCCACTAGCTTCAGCCCCTAAACTTTCTTCTACATGGCTGGAAGGTGGAAGGAGATGGGCTTGCCTTCCTAGTAAAGACGTTTTCTAGAAGTCACACACAGCATTTTTGCTTCACTGACTGAAACTTAGTCACATGCCCACCTATACCTTCTACAAAGGCTGGAGAATCAAAGATCCAAACTAAAACATGGGATTCTTACTTCTCAGGAAGAAGAGGGCCATGGAGACTGGGGGGCACTTATAATTCTCTGCCAGACCATGTATGTATATTTATGACCCAACTAGTGTTGAATTCAGCTCCATGTCTTACAACTTATCAAATAATTCCTAGGAATGTTATAAATATATTCTTGCTAGACACTGGAGTCTCCGACATATGTAAAAGACACAACTACTAGCAAAGTGGTGAAATGGAGGTCTACTTTAGTGCCATGGTAAATTGTTAGTGTAAGTGAATAAATGTTCCTTTGTTATCTCATAAAATTACTACTGCCAAAAGGATTTCCTGATTGCACTGATATTGATTAACATGTTTATCAAATTTATTCATTTCATACTATTTGCAAGGATTTGTGCTAGGCCCTGTGGAGAATAGAAAGCTTCCTTGAAGGAGTTTATAAAGAGTAGAATAGAATAGTAAAGCTTATTTTGGCCAGGTGTGGTTGCTCACATCTGTAATCTCAGCACTCTGGGAGGCCAAGGTGGAAAGATTGCTTGAGGACAGGAGTTTGAGATCAGCCTAGGCCACATAGTGAGATTCTGATTCTACAAAAAATTAAAAAAAAAAAAAATAGCTGAGCATGGTGGTATGTATCTGTAGTCCCAGCTACTCAGGAGGCTGAGGTGGGAGGATTGCTTGAGCCTGGGAGTCTGACGCTGCAGTGAGCTATGATTGAGCCACTGCACTTGAGCCTGGGAGACAGATTGAGACCTCATCTCTTAGGAAAAAAAAAATGGTTATTTCATGCAATGAAAGTTTGAAAGTGGACAATAAGAGCATAAATGGAATTCTAACAATCAAGTTATTTTAATTGAATTTCATTTTTCTTTCTATAGGGCATCTCTCAGAACCAGCTGAGGTTCAGAGAACTCCCTATTCAAGTTATTAATTGATGCTGCTAAACTGAGATATCATCCCATGTTTACCTTTAATTGGCATATTCCGTGCAAGCGAAGATTTCTTGTCTGTAAACTGTGCTTAAGTGCTTGTGTATGTTTTGATTATTGTTCATTTTCCTTCACAGAGGAAAATAACCATTTTCCATGAACAAAACATTGATGAAGATCAAGCCTAACAACTGCTTTTTCTAACAAATTTCAGGGGCAGCATTTTCTGCTGAGAGTCTGTTCATCTTCAGGAAATCAATTCATTCACATGGGGTGCCCATGAGGAGGTTCAGAGTGAAGTGAGGGAGAATTCTGGTGGGTGAGAGGGTCTGACTCTCCCTATTCACATGAAAGAATGGAAACTCCTACACTCTGAAGGGCAAGAGCAAGTCAAAAGTAGCTTAGAGCAGATCTGCTTGACCAAGAAGAGCAAAGGAGAAGGGGTAGGTGGATAATTCAAGGGCTAATATAGAAATGAGATTAATCGGAACACAAGCAGCTAAATGCAGCCAGTGGCAGGTGCCAAGAGGGAATTGTGTGGTGGCCATGATGCCCCATATCTGTACCCATGGGGTTTGCCTGGTATCTATATGGCAGGATTCATTAGTTTACCTAGTTATATTTCCTCTATCCCATCCATGGGGTTTCCTTAGGCAAATCATTGTGTGAAATTGTAACTTTTCTGAATGGAAGCTATGAGTCTGTGCCCTTTATAGGGGTAATGTGGGGTCCAAAGGCAATTTTGGTTGGGTCATAGTCATTTTCTTTGATAGTGTCCATGGTTCTGACCTTAGAACAAGCTAGGTCTGGCTGCATGTGTCAGGGTAACAGTATCTTTTTACATGCTGCTTACTTCTGAGATTTTCAACACAATTTACTTTCTACAAAGCTATAACAATCTTTTTTATTTTTATTTTTTTGCCTATAAGAAGAAACAGCAATGAGCTGGTGAGGTGATAACAACTTTATTTAGTAAATAAAGAAACGAAGGCATGAGCTATTTGCTCAACAAGAGTACACACGTGGCACACCTGGAAGTCCAGTCCTTACTATGTTTCATTTATGATCTTTCTCATAGAGAAGATTCATCCCTACACTGCATATTCCAGGAAAAATTCTGTTTTTTCTTTATTAAGAGACTTTGTTTTTTAGAGCACTTTGAAATTCTTAGCAAGCAAAATGCTATGAAAGGTTCAGAGATTTCCATATCCCTTCTGACCGCACCCCTGCACAGCCTCCCCACCATCTCCATCCCACACCAGAGTGGCCCATTTGTAACAATCGATGTGCCTAAACTGATGTCATTATTACCCAAAGCCCATTGTGTGCTTTAGGGTTCACTCTTGGTGTTGTACATCCTATGGGTTTGGACAAATGTATAATGACATGCGTCCACCATTGCAGTGTCATACAGACTAGTTTCATTTCCCTAAAATTCCTCTGTGCTCCACCAATTCATTCCTCCCTGCCCTCAACCTCTGGCAAACACGGATCTTTTTCCTGTGTCCATAGCTTTGCCTTTTCCAAAATATAATATAATTGAAATCATATAGTATGTAGCTGAGAGTTCCACTTTTAAAGGAACACAAATTTCATAGTGTTTGCCAATCAATGTGGACTCGTTTAGAACATGAAAGTGGTTTCATGATAGTAAGTTCTTTTTAAAAGACTGTTCTGTTCTTCTAGACATGTTCGGTGGGAACCTACATTTCCTACTGGGTCTTTGGCTCATTGTCAGCAAAGTAACTACTGAAAGGGCAGAAGCTCTGGGAAGATGAGAGAGGATGAGTGTATTAGGCTGTTCTTGTGTTGCTGTAAAGAAATACCTGAGACCGTGAAATTTGTAAAGAAAAGAGGTTTAATTGTCTCAGTTCTGTAGGCTCCTGCATCTGCTTGTGGTGAGGACCTCAGGAAGCTTACAGTCATGGCAGAAGGCAAAGAGAGAGCGGGCATATCACATGGCAAGAGCAGGAGCGAGAGAGAGAGAGTGGGGAGATGCCACACACTTTTAACAATCAGATCTCACTGGAACTCACTCACTATCGTGAGGATAGCACCGAACAATTAGTAAGGATTTGTACCTATGAGCCATACGCCTCCCACCAGGCCTTACCTCCAACATTGCAGGTCACATTTCAACATGAGATTTGGAGAGGACAGACACCCGAATCACAGCAATGGGTCTCAGCAAGCAGCTCCATCAGCTGCCTCAGACTTGTCTGGAAGGTGGCAGACGTGGGCAATTCCTGCCTTGCTGAAGAGGGATACACTGCTGAGTGAATGCTCTGAAGCAGAGGAGCATTTGGTGCAACTGAAGTTGTCTGAAGTGACTTGTGTATTGAATCTTGCAGAGCCTGAGCTATGGGATTGTTCCTACTTAGTTTGATGTTGTGTTTAGTCCATGAGTGAACACTGAGGTTGGTCTATTTCTTCAGGGACTAAGGGGTTCATCTGCTACTGAGAGGCAGGAATAAGCACCACAGCCAAGGCAGGCATCTTGGATTCTGTCTCCTAATGCACGGGTGGACTTGAAAGAGACACCACAAAAAAATCACCCACCAGTCCCTTCCTCACAGCCTCCTTTTCTGTATCTTCCTGAAACAACCATGACAAACGTTCAGGTCCTCTTACTACAGATTAACACCCATGGCAAATTTCCTTTTGTTTGCTCTTCTATGACACTGTTTTCTCTCTACCTGAGATGCTTTGCCTCACTTACTCCCTTTTGAGTGGATTAGGAGAAGGTTCTGTGATTTTTGTTTTGGTTCATTTGAGAAGTTTTCAGGTACTTTGACAATCTCCTCCGTCACACCTTGGGTTCTGCACAGTGGTCCCGTGAGAATGAGAATCTTCAGAGGAAGGCAAAAGCCAGACACACCTGGCCAGAGGAGGCGTCCGAAGGCCATGAACTGCTGGGGGTGATTAGTGCTTGGCTTTGATCTTGTGTTGCAATGATCCTCATAACAGAACCCCGGATGGTGGGACTGATCATTCAGTTCTGTAATACAACACGGTGCTGATTCAGTACCGTAAGACTTGTCTGAAGCAGGTAGCCCAGAGGCCTTTCTTTGGCTTATTGAGCATCCCTCACGACAGAGAAAACCACCAGAAACACTGATTTTGTACCGTTGGGTGATAGAGCAAGCCATCAGAATAGCTGATATTGGCCCATTAGAAAATGCTGAGCTGTAGGTAAGTTTAAGGTCGTTCAGTTTGTGTGGATTCAGAATCACTGTATTCCCATTATGCACCCTTCAATTTGCTCTTCGTTTTAAAAACAAACAAACAAAAGAGAACTTGACTCTAATTCTGCCCTTCTTTGGATGCCTGTCATAATATGTGGCTTACCTCTTTCTCAGCCCTCTGATGTCAGCCTGAGCAAGACAGGATCAGCTCCCCGGGGCTGGGATGCCCCAAGTGTCAGCGTTTGGGAAGCATGGAGAAGCAGGCACCAGGTTTCACCATACACTGGACATTGCTTCTCCAAGGCAAGCAGCACACTTTAGAAGAGACGAACATGGAGAGGAGGTGATGGGGAGGACCCACAAAGGGGGTGGTGTGGTTATTCAAAGCATCCAGCCCCAGAATCTGGCTGCCTGGGTTCAGATACCAATTCCTCCTCTTGCTAGAAAAGTTACCGCAGACTACTCTCTGAGACTTGGCTTCTTCACCTTTAAAATGGAAATCACAATGAACCTCTCTTCTTGTGGGGATTATGAGATTATCCATGCAAAGCTCATAGAGTAAACCCTGAATAAACAGGAGCTATTATTATTGTTAAAGGGTTGGGGAAGGAGTTCCCCAGAGCCTTCCATGTTTCCATTCCTGTCTCTCAGCCTTTGTTATGGGTTGTCCTGAGAACTCTTCACATTCAATGCCAACTCCAGATCAACCTCGTTTGATGTTCTATTCCTCCTTGTCTGGCAGGCAAGGCTGCCTGCTCAGCCATTTTCACCTTGAGTTCTGGATTGATTTACAGTATCCTTGCCATCTGCCAAGTGTGCTGTAAAGGCAATATGCTGCAGCTGTCATCACTGCCCTTATTGTACACCCTATAGAAAGAAGTATTTCCTTACGAGGAACCCTCCTGACCAGGCTGGGTGCCAGCCCTCTGCCGACTGAGTTCTGACCCTGAGCAGGGCTGCTGGACTTCCTCTGAGTTTCCTTGATGTGGGCACCTTTGCCTTAGCCTGCCTGACCTTGCACGTCTCTGCCCTCCCACTGAACTCTTCCAGGCCTCCCATTGGCTGGGGTCATGGTTCTGATCACGGACCTCAGCCACACTACTCCATAGTTTAGGTTCGGAATGGACCCTCTACTGCCCTTTAGTTAACTCCCTTGACCCAAGGAGGCCTGAGGCCAGAGACCTCGTTCATGCCTTATCTTGGATGGGCAGTGTGTGAAGTCATGAATTCAGATCAGGATGCCCTCAAGGTAGGCAAACCGGGAGCTGCGTCTGGAGCTGCATGGGGGTGAGGTCAAGTGGGCAGTGGGTGGAAAATCAGAGAGAACTTAGTGCCAGAGCAGAGGATCATCCACTCCACTTCTTGCCTCTTTAGGCTTTGTCTTGTGTTTCGTATTTCTTTGGCAACTTGGTTGTGTGGCATTTTTCCACCACATTCCTTGGAAATGTCTCCCTTCAATCTCTTTCATGGAATGATCTAGATGGGGCTCCGCTGTGCTGGCTGCTCATCAGGCTGCTGTGCCAGCCAACGAACCCCTCCAAGATGAAGAGATAGGCTCAGGAACACAGCGTGGACATGTGATAGGCTCGCGTAAAGCTTCATAAAGATGAATGTCTAAAGCAATGTGGCACGTCTGCCATCACTTAACTTTGAATGTGTCCCTTCGGAACTTGAAGCTGCAGTCCCTGCGTCCCCGCAATGGGCGCCCTTTCCTTGCAGTGCTGGAACTTCGCCTCCAGGGGCAGCAGCCCTCAAAGCCCCCTGGGGCGTTCTGACACCAAGAGGAACGCATATCCTCAGACCTACATCCGGCAGTGAATTTTCCAACCCCTACTTGCATGAAACCCACATATTTAAAACTATATGTATTGAAACATTTACAGTATTTTTTAAAAATCCAAAGTTAAGTAGTAATCTTAAGGAGTAAGCTTTTAAAAGAAATAAACTCCTAATTCTGCTAGCTTCTGTTTTGATTTCACTAAAAACCAATAATCGTTTAAAGCAACTGAATCTAAAACTGCTCTAATACTTGATCTCAGAGCAAAAATTCAATTGGTCTTAGTCTATAGATATGGGACCTGCAATTACCTGTGACTCCTGTCCCCCAAATCAGGGATAGGAGATTTATTCACTATGCTTAGATTATTCAAGCTAATCTTAATCAGTATCTTTAATGTAACAGGTCGTCTAAGAGGTTCAGCTCACTCTGCTATGACTCTTCGTTCTTTCTCCCTGTCATGCAAAGGTAAAGGAAGAGAAGAGGCTGCTCATTTAGCAACTTTACACCAAGCTCCTGGCTTCTCTGAAATAGAAAGGGAGCGACTTTCCCCTTCACTCTTAAGTCAGAGGGAAGCAGCTCTTTCTCATCGGCATGTCTCCTAAGAGATACTAGTGGAGGCCTTAATGGCAGGGGGTCCTTGCAACCTCCAAAACAAATACCCACATTCTATGTGTATATGGCAATGTGTATTTTCTGGAAAGAGGGTCCAGAGCTTTCCATGAGGAACTCACAGGGGTCTATAACCATGCCCACCACAAGGGTGACGCCTCTGGGAAGTGCTGCTGGTAACACACATGTGGACACTGTTGTTACCAGCTTTCTATCAGCAGATAGAGCTCATTTGCAACCTTTATAAACTGCTTCTGAGGCTAGCTCTTCCAGAAATCATTTTCTGAAGCTAACTTGAGCCTCTTCCCAAAGATTATTTTGAACAATATTTAGGGAATTTTAAAATAGTCATGCTAATTTAATAATAATATGAAAGCCAGATAATTTGCTAAGCTTAAATTTTAAATAGAACATTTAATTTATAATTTTTGATTATCAAAGTAATACATTTATTGTACATAATTAAGAAAATATAGAAAAATATAAAAATAAAAAATTCACTTGTTAATCTACCCCTGAAATAACTTTTGAGAAAATTTTGTTGTATTTTAAGATAAAATTATAAGTTTACACATATAAGGATAGTATTAGAATGCACAGAAAAATATATTGTAAACTTTTCCTATTTTGTAAATATTTTCTGACATTATTTTAGTAGTTGAGCAGTTATTATAGTTTGGATATACTGATAGATATTTAATTACTTGTAGTTGTACTAATATTATTTTCCAGTTTTATATAATTAAATGAACACTTACAAGCATAGCCATGTAAACAATTATTATTTGGTAAGCACATTATTTTTTAGTTATTATGCTAAACATATGGCATATATTATTTTGATTACTTCTTAATATAACTTGTGATTTGATATTACTAGCCTATTTAATGGATCAAGAATTCCATCAGGCTCAGAGAGATCCAATGCCACAGAACCATTAAACAAAGAAGCTGAAATTATATCTCAGGCTTTATGATAAATCCCATGAATGGAATTTTGGGTTAAAGGTTATGAACACTTTTAAATCTTTTGAGACATAATCAAATTGTTCTTCAGCTGTGAATTTACGGCAGTACTTTCATTTTTAACAGTTTCTAGGGAGAGAAACTCTATAACCTCTCTTGATAGTCCTTTTTAGATTTCGCTAAAAATTAAAGCCATCAGACTTTTTCATTCAATAAATTAAGTACCTTAAAAATTGTGTATATTTATGGTATACAACATGATATTTTGGTATACCTTTTTTCTTTTTCCTTCCTTCCTTCCTTCCTCCCTCCCTCCTTCCTTCCTTCCTCTCTTTCTCCCCTCCCTCCCTCCCTCTCTCCCTCCCTCCCTCCTTTCTTTCTTTCTCTTTCTTTCTTTCTTTCTTTTCTTTCTTTCTTTCTTTCTTCCTTTCTCTCTCTCTTCTTTCTTTCTTTCTTTCTCTTTCTTTCTTTTCTTTTTCCCTTCCCTTCCCTTCCTTCTCTTCCCTTTCCTTTCCTTTTTCCTGTCCTTTCCTTTCCTTTCCTTTTTCCTTTCCTTTCCTTCTTTTTGACAAGGTCTCACTTTGTTGCCCAGGCTAGAGTGCAGTGGCGTGATCTCAGCACATTGCAGCCTTGACCTCCTGGGCTCAAATGATCCTCCCACCTCAGCCTTCTGAGTAGCTGGGACTACAGGCACATGCCACTGTGCCCAGCTAATTTTTATATTTTTTTTGTGGAGATGGGGTTTTGCCATGTTGCTCAGGCTGGTCTTAGACTCCTGGGCTAAAGTGATCTGCCTGCCTTGGTCTCCCAAAGTATGGGTATCACAGGTGTGTGCCACCATGCCCAGCCTGATATACTTATTTTGATACACATTTACATAGTGATGTTATTACTGTAGTCAAGCAAATTGGCATATCCATCATCTTATATAGTTACCTTTCTCTCTCTCTCTTTTTTTTTTTTTTTTTTTTGAGATGGAGTCTCGCTCTGTCACCCAGGCTGGAGTGCAGTGGTGTGATCTCTGCTCACTGCAAGCTCTGCCCCCTGGGTTCACGCCATTCTCCTGCCTCAGCCTCCTGAGTAGCTGGGACTACAGGTGCCTGCTGCCACTCCTGGCTAATTTTTTATATATATATTTTTTAGTAAAGACGGGGTTTCACCGTGTTAGCCAGAATGGTCTTGATCTCCTGACCTTGTGATCTGCCCACCTCGGCCTCCCAAAGTGCTGAGATTACAGGCATGAGCCACCGTGTCTGGCCCTCTTTGTGTGTGTGTGTGGGGGGGGGGTAAGAGTATCTAAACACTACTCTCTTGGCAAATGACCAGTATAAAATACTATATTATTAAGTATAGGCTTCATATCATACACTAGATCTCTTAGACTTATTCATCCCACATAACTGCAGCTTTGTACCTTTTGCCCTACACCATTCTATTTCCCTGTGCCTCTGATAACTATTTTTTATCTGTTTCCATGTACTGTATGTGATTTTTTTCAATTAAGCATAAATGTGAAATTATGCAGTATTTTTCTTTCTGTCTGGCTTATTTTAATGAACATAATGCCCTCTAGTTTCATCCATGCTATTGCAAATGGCAGGGTCTCCTTTTGAAAGATTGTGTGATATTCCCTTGAGTATATACCACAATTTCTTTATTCATTCCTCTGCCAACAGACTCTTTGGTTATTTTAACACTGCTATGGTCTGAGTACTTGTTCCCTCCAAAACTGATGTTGAAATTTAATGGCCACTGTAGCAATATTAAGAGGTGGGACCTTTGAGAAGTGATTAATATCCTTATAAAAGGGCTAGTTTTGCCTTCTCCTCTCTGTTTGCCCTTCTGCCTTCCACCACATAATGATGCAGCAAGAAGGCCATTGTCAGATGCTTGTGTCTTGATCCTGGACTTCCCAGCCTCTAGAACTGTGAGAAAATAAATCTCTGTTCTTTGTAAATTACCCAGGCTCAGGTATTGTTACAGCAGCACAAAACAGACTAAGACACATATCTTAACTATTGTAGTGAATAATGCTGCAATGAACATGGTGTGCAAATAGCTCTATGAGGGAGCTGATTTTATTTTTTTGAGTGTATACACAGAAGTGGATTGCTGGGTCATGTAGTCATTCTATTTTTAATTTTGGGGGGAGCTTCCATATTGTTTTGCATAATGATGGCACTGATCTACATCCCAACACCAGATATTTCTTTCTAGATTAACCAACTTCTACTTGGCTTTTTTTCTCTTATTGATTCTTTTAAAAAGTGAAGAAAAAGATGGCATTAATACTTACTCTTTGAGTAACTGTAAAACAGTACTTTAAGCATATTTAAAAATATATATATGTATATATTTGCACTATGCCTTTTTCTAAAATTATTTGGGATGGTCACGGTAGTTCTCAAGCTTTTTTTCCTATAATTCTTTATGTTTTCTATGGAGGAGATATTTTCCATCCCCTCTCACCTTTTTCTTTTTTCTGACTTGTTTTCTTGGAGCTTTTTAAACATGTGAAGATCTAAGTTAGATTTAATACTATAGGAATTATGAGACCAAAACTGATAGTAATGGAAACATGATTTTTTGGCTTTTGAAAGAGCTGTGTTCTCATGGTTGCATTTCTTCCTGCTGAGCTATACCTTTTTAATCTTTATCCTCTGTGCATATGTGATGATAATTTAAACCTCATTCATGGAGAATTTCAGGTTTTTGCCCCACTTTGAACGATTTGTCTAATTCGTTGAGGTGCCAGAATTCTAAATCTCTTTCCCAAGGTGCCCGCTCCCCTGCTTCATGCAGCAGCATCTACCACACTAACTGCAGGGATCCTCCATGCCTGTTCCAGGCCAATGACAGAGAAATAAAACCACACAAATTATGAGGCTGACCTCTGGCAGACATCGCTGGACATGTTCTCTGGGCGCTGATCATGAGCCATGGATAACTCAGCGTTGGATGCAGAAGTATATGGTTATCAGCCAGCCCCAGACCACGTGAAACCCGCCACCAGCATCTCAGATGCTTATTTTCAAAAGTGCAAGGAGCAGAACCAGAACAGCAGCTCTCTCCTGGAGGATGATGAGCTCTCTTTGCCACCACCCTTCTCCGTGGTGTAGGGAAGTCGAGGTCTTTACTGCACCTTAGCTGCATCCATCCATCCCTCAATTGCAGGGCTTGGATGGCTTTCTTTTAAAGCTCTATCTGGTTCTAAAACTCCCCAGTTCCCATAGAAAACTGACCCATGTTCCAAGCATACCTTCCTCCTCAGAGGCTTTGTCTCCTCAGCCTTTACCCTTCTCTCCTGCATTTGCCCCTCCCCCCTCTTCGGACCATCTCTCTCAGGCTACAATATGCTCTCATCTCTTCTAGGTAGAAAACACAAACAGTCTCCCTGGATTCTGCATGATATCTGGCCACCTCTCTGTCTCTTCCTTATTACTCTATAACCCTTTTAAACCCATCGCCCTCTTTCTTCCACCTGCATTAAGATGGTAGAGTTGTTTTGGCTAAGGCAACCTGTCACTTTCCACATGCAAAGTCCAGTGAAGAGTTTGTAGTCTTATCTTACTGGATTGATTTCCAAGCAGCATTTGACATGATGACTCTTTCCTTCTCAACAGTCAGCAATATCGCATCCTTGTTGTCTGCCTTCCACCCCACAAGCCATTTCTTCCTCCATCTTCCTCACGAGCTCATCTTTCCACTCTAATCGCTGGTGTATCTAAGGCTCCCGTCTCCTACCCGTCTCTCTCCTGCCACATTTTCCTCTTAGATGATCCCATTTTGGTCCTCATTTCAACCTATACCTAAATGCATGTTAATGGTTATTTCTGTCTCTACCCCTGACCACCGCACAATCTTCGGACACATTTTTAATCATCTCTGAGCATCTTTCCCACAGGAAGCTTAGAAACAGTCTAAATCCATGGCCATCCCTCCTGAGCAGTTTCTGCTCCCTGCAATCTCTCCTTCATGGGGTGGCACCATCATGTGCCTCTCCAGGCTAGAAATCCAGGGATCTGGCCAGATTCTTCCCTGTCTCCCATTTTCCCCTCCAGTCGACCTCCCTACTCTCCTACTGTAACCTGCTAACTCTCATGAATCTGCGTCACTGCTCTCCAGCCCTGCCAGCTCCTCTGCACCAGCATTGTCCCTTCTCCCCTGCCAGTGTCCTGCCCCCAGTCTTTCTCCCCTGGAACCTGCTCTCCACATGGTCACTACAGAGATCAGCCTGAGAAGACACGGCTTCTCAACCTCTATGGCAGGTTGTTGGGGGTCATGTATGTCTTTGAAAAGTTTATGAAAGACATACAGATATTTTGAAGACAACTGCAAGGGCTTCAGAGAACTCCCTTCTGGACACTGGATTAAGACCTTCTGCCCTACAGGCTTGAGTTGCTTAACATGGTAGATAGAGACCTTGCAGGTCCAGCCTGCGCCTGCCGGTCCAGCCTCGTCCTCCTCACTCCCAGCCTCGTGCATGTGTTTTAGCTCCACCACACCAAGTGTAGGACTCTAATCCCCCCAGGCCGTTTCCTGCTTCCAGGGCTGCCCACTGGGCTGCTTCTGCCTGGAGTGCCCCAAGCCCTCTCTGTCTGGCTAGTGCCTGTGCCTTTTTCCAGACTCAGCTCCTTCTGAAAGTCTCTCTTGAGCCCCTTTTTCTACCCCGACGCCCACTCCTACCATCCTCACTCTGTTTGCTGAGTTCATTGTGCCTTCTTTGAAACTTCAAAACAAATAAAATGACACAGCTGTGGGATATATAGGAATCATCCAAAGCAATGCCTAGCTTGCTCTTAGGGTCCTGCCTACAGAGACAGAAGTATTCTCTCTGTCCTTACAGGGCTCTAGGGGTTGGTCCAGCCCGTTGGAGTTGTTGGCAGAGGGGCCAAACAAAGGAAGATTTTAGAGCTTCAAGCCCTCGGATCTCTCTTTAGTTAGCCTGTGCTTGCTTTCCCATATTGTATATGATTAGTCACCGAGGTGGAAAATTGAATCCATCTGTGAATGCTGGAAAAGGAAGCTTCAAAAGGGTGAGGCCAAGGGTTCAGCCATGAGCAATTCCTAACCTAGGAGACTTTATTTCAACGTTGTCCTTAGTAAATGAATAATAAAACTTAATGAAGAATGTGTAATCGTTATTCTTATCCTCTCAACTCAGCCCTTCGTCAAATAACTATAAAAGTGGATGTCACATACCCTCCTGGTGCATGCTACTGTCTAGAGGAGGCACTGGGGCCTCTCAGGTCACAGGATGGCCAGGAATAGATGCTGTCAGACACATTAAGACAGAAGACACATTGAGAAATGGATGGGAGATACTTTTATGATGGAATGAGAATAAAAGGCAGTAAAAAATATCCAAGGGTGAATGGGTCATGGAAGCAAATAGAAAAACCATTATTAAGTAGGCAGAGGAGAATGGGACAATTGGATGAAAACTGTTGACCCAAATATGGAATTTTCAGACATTTGTCTCTGGCATGTATTATCTTTAGTACAAAAATAGCAGTGACATTAGGTCACAGATTCCTGAATCTTTGGGAAGTAGAAAGTAATTTAGACTACAAGGCAGCAGAGGTATTTTAATTCTTGCCCTACCGTGAGAGAAGAGTGACCTTGAACTGTCATCAAAGCTCCAGGCCTCAGTGTCATCATCTGTACAATGGAGGAGTTGGCCTGTGTGATCTCAAATATCATTTCCAACTTGGAAATGCTGTGATTCTGCGACTCTATGGATAGAACGGCAGTGCCCCAGGCAGTCTAGAAATAAACTATTACACACAATTCAAACAAGATAAGCTAATGAAATTAGAAGTGGTTCAGTTCACCACAGGGGGGTTAACCTTCAGCTAAATTAGAAAAGAGGTTGTCTTATTTTTGTGTAATTTTTTTTTTTTTTTTTGAGACAGAGTCTCACTCTGTCGTCCAGGCTGGAGTGCAGTGGTGCAATCTCGCTCACTGCAAGCTCCGCCTCCTGGTTCACGCCATTCTCCTGCCTCAGCCTCCCGAGTAGCTGGGACTGCAGGTGCCCGCCACCAAGCCCAGCTAATTTTTTTTTTTTTTTTTTTTTTTTAGTAGAGATGGGGTTTCACCATGTTAGCCAGGATGGGCTCAATCTCCTGACCTTGTGATCTGCCCTCCTTGGCCTCCCAAAGTGCTGGGATTACAGGCTTGAGCCACTGTTCCCGGCCTTATTTTTTTTTATTTTATCTGCCTTCCATTCTGTGTGTTGGAGCACTGTCACCCCAATTCTCCCAACCCAGACACTGGGACTCTCATGGCCCCCCTCTCTCTGACTGCCAGGACCCCAGCCCTTGGGCCACACCCACTTCCCATGCAGGCCTCTCTGATTCTTGGAGGCCCAATACCTGAGGTCTCCATCGGGAGGCGATGGCTAGGGGTTTGGTAGTGTGGGGAGCTGCACCTTTCACAGCAAGCTCAGCTCTTGCCCAAGCGGGAACAGCACAAAAGCAGGCTTCATGGCAGGCAGAGGGGCCAATGATCTCTGGGCACCCCCACATGAATCCCATCTTCGGGCCTCTATTTCCGAGTTCCATCACTGACATGTGAAGTCAGTTGACTCATCTCTCTATGTTAATAGGACAGTAACAGTTTTCCTCTACGAATCTGAGAAGGCTGCTGAGATGTTGCAGTGTACAGTGTATGTGAGATGGCCTCATGGCCGGCAGATCCCTTCCTGGTATCAGGTAGTGTTCTAGGCATTCTGATTGGCCCAGGCAGAAGGTGTGTCAGATGAGCAGCAGCAGAAGGAGAAGGGAAGCAGGCGCTTGGCTAGAATCATGCTTCTAAATCACCATGCCAGAAACTGGCACGCCAGAGAGAGTGGGATTCTCCCTTTCCCTGCATCACACAGGTAACTGCCATTTGTTTTGCTCCAGCTCTCTGCTGCTGGCTTTATATATTATGGCTTTCCATTGGGCAGGCTGGTGAGGGCCTCAGAAAGATTAAGGCATTTGTTCAAGTTTGCATGATTGGTCTGTGGAAAAGCAAGACTTCAGGCCCAGTTCTGGCCCAGTTCTGTCTGATTGCAAAGGCCCCCAGAGCCCATAGCTCAAATTCTGGGATCTGTTGCTCACAGAGAAAAGTTGTAGCATCTTCCAGCATCCTTTGAACATTGGGCATGTCAGACACACTCCTACCCCTGCACCTTTGCCCTGACCGTCCCCTCTGCCTGGAGTCCTCTTCCCCTAGTTATTGGGATGACTCACCTTCTCCTTTACTTAAGGTCCCCTCCTCAGGGATGACTTTTCAGACTATTTAGTCACAGTCCCTCATCCCACGCTGCATCCCTCTCCCCTCTCTCTGCTTTGCATCTCCGCACAGCGTTTGTCACCATCAACACCTTTCACGCAGGCATTCTTTAGGGCCGACTCCCGCTCTCCAAACCTAGGAACTAGGCTCCAATTCGGAGAGCAAGGGGGTGTATCTCACTTCTTTGTTTTGTTTATCACTGCCCTCCACTGTCTCCATGGGGCCAGGAGTGCCACCACCTGGACCAGGGTCTGGGGCATAGTGGGTGCTGCTAGATGGGCACTGAGTGAGTGCCTGTGTGTGTCCACAGCAGGTGCTGGAGTGACGAGGACAGGTGTGCAGCAAGTGTGAGACACAGAGCAATGGTTCAACAGCAGACTGAGGGGAAGGAGTCCTGGATTTTGAGGGGGCCAAGCCTGAAAATCTCCTCAGAAGCACTGAGCTGCCTGGGACTGTTAATAGCGTCTCTCCAAGATAGTGAGTCCTCCACCACTGAGGCAGGAAGGAAACTGTGAAGGCACCGAAGGAACTCACAAAGTCAGCAGCCGAATCAGCTCTCATCCCCGCAGCACGGAGCGGAGAGCATTTTCCATTCATTCACGACTTTATTCTGAAAGTTGGTCTTGAGTCTCTGGGCACCTGTGAGATGCTGCCATGATGGTGCTGGAGGCTTAAAGGTGGTGAGACAAACCGGGGCACATGGTGTGCTCAATGCACAGCAACCCCAGGTAAAGTCTGTCCCTCTCTGTGTCCACGGTTCCCTGCAGTCCATCTCTAGAACATTCCCCCCATGCTGCTTGGCACTTGTGAGCCCACTAGTTCACTACTGGGTTGTGAGGTCTGATACATACGTGAGCTTTGGGACCAGAATGCCTGGGTTTAAATCTTATCTCCAACATTTAGTAACAGTGCGACATTGGTCACATCGCTTAAAGTGCTCTGTGCCTCTATTTGCTCTTTTGTAGAATGGGAGCATTAGCATAGTCTCTGTAGGGTTATTGTGAGGATTAAATAAATGGAAATATATAGAAACATTGGACCTGAGCTATTACATGTTGTCTGGTAATAGACATCTGCATAGTGGAGTGTCTGCTACATAGTAGGTGCTCAGCGTAAGTCCACTGGAGAGCTGGGGGAACGACGGGATAGAAGCACAGTTGGAAGTAGCTGACTTCAGTACTGAAGCAGATGGCGGGTGGAGGGGTGGCCCTCACAGCACAGCGCTCACACGGGAGTGGATTTTTACTCAGCCTCTGGCAGCCTGATCTCAAAGCCAGGGCCCGGGAAATAAACCAAGACAATTTCTGGTGATTAAAACAGAAAAGGGGATGGACTGAGTTTGTAAATATAACTGCAAACACTTGGTAACTAAGCAATTTGGCAAAGATTCCCACTCTCGAGAGAGAATTTTCCCTTTGAAAACTAAATAATAGCACACAGCAATGACTTCATGCAGGGCCTTGGGTGTGTGTCTGAGAGGGGCCATCTTTTCACTGATGGCCTGCAAAGCCCTGAGAGTCAGGTCACACACAAATGTAGGGTCCCAGTCACTACTGGGCACGGTGGCAGGTCACTCCAGACTGGGGCCTTCCCACCCTGTCCTTCTGTGGCCATTGCTCTGTTGGGACATTGGCCCTGTCTAGATCTTATTCTCTGCGTTTTTCTCTTTTCTTTTCTTTTCTCTTTCTTTTCTTTCTTTTCTTTTCTTTCTTTTTTTTCTGTTGCCCAGGCTGGAGTGCAGTAGTGCTCACCATAGCCTCAAGCTCCTGGGCTCAAACAATCCTCCTGCCTTAGCCTCCCGAGTAGCTGGGACTACAAGTGTGTACCGCCACACCTGGCTAATTTTTTATATTTTGTAGAAATGCGGTCTTGCTCTGTTGCCCAGGCTGATTTTAAACTCCTGGGCTCAAGCTATCCTCCCACCCTGGACTCCCAAAGTGCTGGGATTCCAGGCATGAGCCATCAGGCCCAGCTTTCCCTGCATTTTCTGCAAGGCCTGCTCTACCAGCTGTGGTTTTCTCAATTAAATTTATAACCCAGGCATTTTAGCAAGTTTTTGCACCTGTGTCTTTTGCTCTTTCCCTGCATTAGGGTTTATTTGGAACCAAGGGTGAGCAGATAGAGTTGCAGGAAACATTTGGTGGTTGCGCCATCTCCTTCCTGCACCAGAAGCACAATGCTTTCGCTTCTTGACCTCACAGACCACGGGCAGGTGCCCCGCACCTTCCTCCGTTCCCACAGGTCAGGGTGCTGGGCTCTGCTCTTCTGATTCTGCTGGTCTCCAGAAGAAAGTCTCTGCTCATGAAGAAGGAGCAACTCCCCATTACACCATGATGTTCCCTTTTCCCCAAAGGAAATCACTTCCTCACAGAACATTCTGTTTCTTCCATTTCTTCTTCAAACAGCCATTGTCCTCTTCCATCACTTGTCATCACTGGCCATGAATTGACTCGCAGAGCTTAAATCACTCACCCAGGAGCCTAAATACTGGAACTTACTACACAGATAGATTAGGATACCCAAGTTCAAAATCAATCATGTTTTTCTTTCTTTCTTTTTTTTTTAGGGTGAGGAAAACATCCTGTGAGTCCATCTATGGCTAGTTTAAGTTTTTTTCCAGTAAGTTGCACTTGAGATCATATTGGCCAGGGTTGATATTAGAACATTCATCTTTTACTCAACCCTATGACAGAGAAATTTATCAATTCCCAGAGCAACTCTATCTGTTTATAAAAATTGGTGAGGTTTTAAGGCCAGGTTCTGTCAGAAATAGCCTCCTATTGTAAGAATTGAAGATTCTAATCATCTTTGAGTCATATTTTACATAGAGGGAGCCCGAGTCCTTATAGGGTTGGTAAGACTCCAGTTTTTTTCTTTCTCTCTTTTTTTTTTTAGTGGATTGTGAACTCCAGAGTTTGGGTCCCCAGGCAAGGTATTTGGTAGGGTTGCTCTTAGTATAAGCTGAGTATTTAGTGATGTTTCTGGATCCAAGGATTCCTGGTGTACACATATGTGTATGCAAACACACACACACACACACACACACACACACACACACACGCACACACACACAAAGAGCATGTTTGCTCCACAGATCTCTGGGAGAATAACCATGGCAGGGCAAGTGTGGCCTCATAGGTGTGTGTCAGGGGGTAACATGACCCCAGGCTCAGTGTCTGCTGGTCATGACAGTGGCCAGGCCTTGCCATCTCTATGGCCTGAGCTCTGACCTCCAGGCATTCTGAAGAGCACAACAGAGCTCTCATCTGTGAGCCATCGGAAATAGATACACAATTCTTGCTGTCCAATTCTGCCCTCTCTGTAGCAGGGGACAGGTTAGCATGACCACACCTCAAGGGGCTAGCTTACCCAGGATCATCCCTGCCCTTGGGGGAAGTCGGACGTTGTTTCATGTTGGGATTTGACAGGTAACCCAGGCTCCATCTGCATCTGATTTTTTGGGCATTGTTCTGCCGAGTGTCTGGCATTTCCACCATTAGTCATCCATTTTGGGGAGGTCCATCCTTCTAAATCATTCCTGGTAAAATGCACTCATGATCTCTGCATCATATTTGCTGACTGATACCTGCAGAGGTAGGAGCATGAGGGAAGAAAGCACGAATAGATGGTGAGGGTATGTCTGGGTAGGATACGTGGATCTTAAGTAACAAGGACAAAGGAAGGCAGGAGACACTGGCAGGGAATGAAGACACATGGGATGGGGGGAGTCTAAGAACAATTCACATTTAAGCCTCCTGTTTCCTCTGCTCTCCTGTTCTAAGCCCAGATGGACCTGCAGGTAGGGGCTGGAGCCACAGCCTGGGGTAGGCTGAGAAAGACAGCAATTCAGGACCCCCTGGAAGCTCTTCCATCCTCTTTAGGACCCAGGCCCATGTGTGCAGTGGCTCCCTCTCCTGGCTAGAAAGAAGTTGATGTGTCCCCTGCAAGAGGGGCCATGTATCAAGTTTGGACATAGGATTTCATGAAAAAGGTTCCCCCAGTGCACGACACTTTTGCATTTACAGTAAGGTTTCAGGTACACTATTGTGCTCTGAGATATGACTATCATTACTTCTTTTTTTCTTGCTCACAGTCACATAAGATGCCAGTGATTATGGCAGAGATCAAATCCAGGCAGCCTCATTCTTTTTTTTTTTTTTCTTAGACAGGGTCTCAGTTTGTTGCCCAGGCTGGAGTACATTGGTGTGATCATGGCTCACTGCAACCTCAACCACCTTAGTGCAAGCAATCCTCCCACCTCAGCCTCTTGTGTAGCTGGGATTGCAGGAGTGCCCAACTATGCCCTGATATATTTTTAAATTTTTTTGTAGAAACGGGGTCTGCTTACATTGCCCAGGCTGGCTTCGAACTCCTGGGTTCAAGTGATCCTCCCACCTTGGCCTCCCGAAGTGCTAGAATTACAGACGTGAGCCACTGCACCCTGCCCAGGCATTCTGATTCTTAATTCAGTGATGTTTGCAAAAATTCTTGTTTCTCCTCAGATGTTGGTGGGCGGTATGGGGGTTAAAGGCACACAGAGGTTGGGTGCAATCAGAATCCAGGGTTCAGAGTCCACTTATCAGGCTGATAATGGCCACACTTTTCATGAGTTTGGCCATTTCTTCCTCTCTGAACTCTCAGACACTTCCCAATACTAGTTGGAAAGTAAAATCCTAGGCTACTCTCAGGTCTCCTACCCAGGTGTATAGGAGACATGTAAGCAGAATTTTGCCATTATTGTGCTGGAAAGTGTAAGACAAGAATAAATAGGAAATCTGATCACCCTAGTATCTGAAGTACCCAGCACTCTACCTGGTATAGTGTAGGTGCTCAAAAAAAGTCCCCTTTTCTTTTCCCAGAGGAGATGTATACTGCTTATTAAAAAATCATATTTTGGTCTTTTGGCCGGAACCGCCATCTTCCGGTAATTCGCCAAAATGACGAACACAAAGGGAAAGAGGAGAGGCACCTGACATATGTTCTCTAGGCCTTTTAGAAAACATGGAGTTGCTCCTTTGGCCACGTATATGCGAATCTATAAGAAAGGTGATAATGTAGACATCAAGGGAATGGGTACTGTTCAAAAAGGAATGCCCCACAAGTGTCACCATGGCAAAACTGGGAGTCTACGATGTTCCCCAGCATGCTGTTGGCATTGTTGTAAACAAACAAGTTAAGGGCAAGATTCTTGCCAAGAGAATTAATGTGCGTATTGAGCACATTACGCACTCTAAGAGCCGAGATAGCTTCCTGAAACGCGTGAAGGAAAATGATCAGAAAAAGAAAGAAGCCAAAGAGAAAGGTACCTGGGTTCAGCTAAAGCGCCAGCCTGCTCCACCCAGAGAAACACACTTTGTGAGAACCAATGGGAAGGAGCCTGAGCTGCTGGAACCTATTCCCTATTAATTCATGGCATAATAGGTGTTAAAAAGAAAAATAAAGGACCTCTGGGTTGTAAAAAAAAAAAAAAAAACTCATATTTTGGTCATAGGTAGAAATGTGCTGGTAAATGGCTCTCTAGAAAAAAAAAAAAACCCTGATTGGTAGCCTTTGCGGAATTCAGTGTGTAAACACCCTCACCAGGCTGCTTTCAACTAGTCATGTGAAATTGCGGAACACAGAGCTGAAAAGAGAAGTGCAGTTGGTTTTTGCAGCCCAGCGCCAGCCTAGCGCCAGCCCAGCACACCGTGGGCCCACATCCTGGATTGTGAACCTGACAAGACATAAACTGTTTCTGAGCCAGAGATCCAGGCACTGCACCTTCCTGCTGTGGTGTAGAGCCCGTGTGCGTAGATGGTGATTCTTAGCTCAGAGAACAATGGAAAGGAGAATGCAGTGGCAGGAGCCCTGGATCAGGCAGGCAGAGAGGGCCAGAGAGGGGACAGCTCTCGGAGGTGCTGTGGACCCGGAGCTCATCCCCCATCTGGGAACTAGTGTTTGTGATATTACCTTTTGGTTTATTCTGAAAACACACAATCAAAAGTGAACCTCAAACTATCTAAACTAGGAAAACCTACTGAGGGTCTTGCAGAAACTTCTACACATTGACAGTGGCAGGGTGTGATAACCTTCAGCCAAGACAGAGCAAGAAGGACTGGATTTGCCTTCCTCCCAAAAGCAACTAACAGACCAGACAGACCAAATGTAGAAAATGATGGTTTTAGACATCGTAGACCAGGGAGTGAAGCGATCTTGGAGGGTTACCAGAGGGAGGGAAACAGACAGAGTCCTGTGATGCCCCAGCTTTCTGCCTTGAGAGAGTGCAGGGAGGGGTCCTGGGGGAGCTGGTGGACTCCCTGACTTTGGGAGATAGAGTGTAGATTACAGGGAGGCCAAGGTGGCTAGAGTTTGAGGGAAGATTACTAGAAATGACAGCTGTGTAGAGAGAAACTCCAGAGATCTGGAGGGTCCCCCTGAAGAATTTGGCTGAGTCCTTGAAAGCATACACAGGTGAGTCAGTTGTCAGACGCTGAGAAACCACTGGAAAGGAGGGGGGTTCACACAGGGTCAGGGATGGTTTGTTTTTCCAACAGCCTGAGAAGAAAAGCCTTGTAATTCATGGGGCATTGGGAAGACACAGAAGAGCTTTGACTGAGTGATGAGGGGAAATTAGCCCTAGACTAAAGGCTGCTGTGGTCTCCCTTTAAAAAGCTTAAAAGCAAGCCTCAAAATGATTAAACGATTTCAGAGTAATTTAGCTGCCTTCCAAAATGAAGCTCAAAAGTATCTATGGGAATTTAATTATACCTAGCATTCAACAAGGCAAAATTTACAGTGTTATCCGTAAAAATGAGCAGGCCTGCAAAGAAGCAGCGAAGAGCAACTCATAATGGGAGAAAAGTCAATCAGTAGAAAGAAATCTGGAAGTGAGGCAGATGAGACTCTTCAATTAGTAGACAGGGACATTAAAATAGTTTTTATAACTGTATTCCTTATATTTAAGGTGATAGAAGAAAAATATATTTTCTATTAGTAGAGACATGGAAGATATTCAAAAGACTCACCTGAACTTCTAAAGATAAAACATACAATGTCTGAGATTAAAAATATGCTGGATGGGATTAACAGCAGATTAGACACTGCAGAAGAAAAAAAAATCAATGAACCTAAAGATACAGCAAAAGGAAAGAGAAAAGGTATGGCCAGAAAGTGAACAGTGCATCAGTGAGCTGTGAAACAACACTGGAGTGGAGGGGAATGGCTGCTGGGGAGAGCAATGGGGGAAGAAGTTAATCAGACATTCTCACGGCTTCTTTCTTGGCAATAGGAGCAATAATTCTGTCAAAAGTGTTTTTTAAACAAGATCAAATTTGACTCTGCTTTGTAGGGTGAGAAAATGGCAGGCAGGGTGGATCCTATGCCTTTTTGGCTCCATAAACCTGAATCTCTGAAACGTTCTGTAAACATTGGTGAAACTGTGGATTGTCAAAGAATTATTGGAAACATAGCATTAAAAAAATACACGTGCAACAATGAAGCTAATAGATGGTGATTACAGATTGCCAGCCTTGTGCTTTGTCTGATATTCTGGTTGTCTTTTAGATTTCTTGAGTTTTAGATTCATGCTAAACATGGGAATGCAAAGTTAGTCAAAGTTTACTCAAACCTGGATTCCAGGTACTTGTTGATTGCTTGGAAAGTTATCAGCTATATAAATCTGTGGTGTGTACGTTTCTTTCCCTGAAAACAAACCAAAGCAAACTACAATAATAGCAACAAGAAAAACCTTGAACACCCAGAATAGGTACTTTTGACCATTTGCTACCTATAAAACAAAACTTCAACTTCATAGCAATATAATATTTCAGGAACAACATGGGCTCTGTAAAAAACGAAAGAGTGAAATCCAGGATTTAAATAAGGAAGAGGTTTCCAAATGGTGACTTCTTTATCCCTCTCAACAAATGTTCCCCCAGATGGCTTAGAAACCTTGAATTTAGAGATGCCATGACCTTAAGGGGGTGGGGGGGCGGGAGGAGAGAATGTACAAGAAAATGCAAAACAAAAATGTACATTGATCTTTTCAACTGCTTTTCTCATTAGTCTCATTTCTCATCAGGCTGCAGTGAAGAATGCGTGTGGAGGAGTAGGAGAAGAAGGGGAGCGAAGCCACTGGGCAATATTCTATTTTGTTTTTCTCGTAGTCTTTTTTTCCTTTGCTTTTCAGTTTTGTGACTTCCTTCTTTCCTTCCTTCCCTTTTTCATTCTTTCCTTTTTTCCTTCCTTCCTCCCTCCTTTCCTTCCTTTCTTTTCTTTTTCTTTCTTTCCCTTTCTTTCTTTTCTTTCTTTCTCCCTTTCTTTTCTTTCTGTCTTTTCTGTCTTTCTCTTTCTTTTTCTTTCTCTCTTTCTTTCTTTTCTCTCTTCTTTCTTTCTTTCCTCTCTTTCTCCCTTTCTCTCTTTCTTTCTCTTTCTTTTTCTCTCTCTTCTTTTCTGTCTTTCTCTTTCTTTTTCTTTCTCTCTTTCTTTTCTCCTTTCTTTCTTTCTTTCTTTCCTCTCTTTCTCCCTTTCTCTCTTTCTTTCTCTCTCTTTCTTTTCTTTCTTTCTTTCTTTCTTTCTTTTTTCCTTTTTCTTTCTTTGCTTTTCTCTCTCTATTTCTTTTTTTTTTGACATGGTCTTGCTCTGTCGTCCAGGCTGGTGTGCCATGGCTTGACTGTAGCTCACTCCTGCCTTGACCTACTCAGCCCAAACAATTCTCCCACCTCAGCCTCCTGAGTAGCTGGGACCACAGGTGTGCACCACCATGCCTAGCTAATTTTTTAAAATTTTGTAGTATGGGATCTTGCTATGTCGCCAGGGCTGGTCTTGAACTCCTGTGCTCAAGCAATCCTTCCACCTCAGGCTCCTGAGTACCTGGGACTATAGGCATATGCCATCATGCCTGGCTAATTTTTAAATTTTCTCTACAGATGGGGTTTCTCTGTGTTGTCCAGGCTCATCTTGAACTCCTAGACTCAATGATCCTCCCACCTTGGCCTCCCAAAGTGCTAGGATTACAGGCATGAACCACTGCACCCAGCCTAGAAGTTCCTATTGACATAGCCTCAAATTCAAATTCTTTCCCTAGCTGTGTCCAGCCTGCTAATAAGCCCATCAAAAGTTATTTCTAGCATTTCTTTTTGATTCTTTCTCAGAATTTTCTGAGGGAAAATTCTTCCTGAGGTAGGGAGAGGAGGCCTATTTTGAGCTTTCAAGGCAGAAGGATTTGGATTAATTTTTTGGGGGGTACTGACTAAGAGGTGGGAGGCTCTGGTTTCTTCCAGGTTTCTGGCCCTGGTGAGTGGGTCTATGATAATATTGATGACTAGGCAGCAAACACAAGAAAGTGGAACAGGTTTTCTGGGCTTAGTGCAAGATGGAAAGTATAATTTTGGCACTAACATTGAGTGGATTTGACCCACATGGGCCTTCTCTGCCTTATTATTTTTCTCTTTCCTCCTCCATCTCTTCTTCCTCCTCCACCCTGGATGGGAAGGGAAGAGATGTTCTGGTCTTTGCTTGCTCACTGGCTTGCTGTGTGACCTTAGGCAATTTTCAGTCTGTACCATTTCCCAAATGCCCTTCTCTGGACAAGTTGCATCAGAATTGCTTGGGGGTGCTTATTAGAAATAAAAATGCAAGTCTGGCCAAGATGGCTGATCAGAAGGAGTTAGAGTGTGCCTCTCTCAGGGAGAGAAATGGAAGGGGCAAGTAAATACAGCACCTTCAACTGAGACATCCAGGTACAAGCATTGGGATTCATCAAGTAAACAATTCAATCCATAGAGAATGGAGAAAAGCAAGGCAGGATGAGTGCCCACCTAGGAGCAACATGGAGCCAGGGGAGCCTCCCCTGCCCAGGCAAGCGGTGAGTGAGTGAGCAACCCCGGGGACCCACATTTCTCCCATGGATCTTTGCAACCGTCGGTCAGGAGATCCCTTAGCAAACCCACTCCACCAGGGCCTGCAGTCTGATGCACAGAGCTACATGGAGTTTTGGCAGAGCAGCTGCTCAGGCACACACAGAGACCCAGGAGCTTTAGATACCCAGGCTTCCTGGCAAAAGCAGCTTTAACTCTGGCAAAGCAGGAGTTTAGATCCCCATACATACCCCTAGGAAAGGGCTTGAATCCAGAGGGCTGAGCAGTCATAGTCTGCAGGCCCAGCTTCTATAGCACCCCACAAGAGAAGACCCATTGGCTGGGAACTCCAGCCAGCCACTGGGAGCAATGCCTCCCTGAGATGGAGCTCCCAGAAAGAGGGGCAGGCCGCCATCTTTGCTGTTTTACAGCCTTAGCCGTTGTTGCCTTCAGTGCAGCTGCCCTATGGAAAAGTGGTCAGACTGCCTTTTTTATTCTGGTCCCTGACCCCATTTTTTCTCACTGGGCAGGACATCCTGACTGGGGTCACCAGTCACCTTCGCCACCTTTGTTTTCCAGTTGGCAATAGTTCCGAGCCTCCCTAGGACAAAACTCCCAGTGGGAAGGGAGTGACGGGCTGTCAACTTTGCTGTTTCGTAGCCTTAGCTGTTGTTGCCTTTGGGCTCAAGGAAGTCTGAGGTGCCTAGGGACTGGAGCAATCCCCTGGCACAGCACAGCAGGTCTACAGAGAAGTAGCCAGACTGCTTTTTCACGTGGGTACTGGATCATATTTCTCTTCACTGGGTGGAATCTTCTGACCTAGGTCTACAACCACCCTGCCAGTGTTTTTGGACCAGCAACACATCTATACCTCCCTCAATGGAGCTCCCAGAGGGAGGGGCAGGCTGCCATCTTTGCTATTTTGTAGGCTTCCCTGTTGACACCTTCAGGGGCTGGAAAATCCAAGGTGACTGGAAACTGGAGTGGACCCCCAGCATACTGCAGCAGCCCTGTGGAAAAGTGGCCAGACTGTTTGTTACATGGGTCCCTGATCCCATATCTCCTCACAGGGTGGGTCCTCTGGGCCTGGGTCTCCAGCCACCCACCACCAGGGCTAATGAGTTGGTAGCAGCTTTGCAACTCCCAGGGACAGAGCTCCCAGTGGGAGGGCAGGTTGCCATCTTTGCTGTCTTGCAGCCCTCATCCTTGCTGTGTCCAGGTTATGGAGAGTCCATGGGGATCAGGGGCTGGTCCAGACCCCAAGCACAGAGCACCCACCTAATGGTAAAGTGTCCAGGCTGTTCTCCATGCAGGCACTGGTCCTCACTTCTCCTCACTGGACAGGGCCACCAAATCTGGGACTCCAGCACAACCACCCTGCCCCTCCCTGACCACTTTAATCACAGGCAGCCCAGCAGTTAAAGGAACACTGACATGCAGAGATAAGAGAGAACCAATGCAAGAACTCCAGCACTCAAATGGCCAGAGTGACTTATATCTTCCAAATGATCACACTAGTACTCCAAGAAGGGTTCTAAACCAGGCTGTGTTGGCTGAAATGGCAGAAATAGAATTCAGAATATGGATAGGAATGAAGATCATCAAGATCTTCCAGAGAATGGCAAAACCCAATTCAAGGAAACTAAGAATCACAATAAAATGATACAGGAGCTGAAAGATGAAATAGCCAGTATAAAAAAGAACCTAACTGCTCTGATAGAGCTGAAAAACACACTACAAGAATTTCACAATGCAATCACAAGTATTAACTGCAAAATAGACCATGGTGAGGAAAGGATCTCAGACCCTGAAGACTGGCTGTCTGAAATAAGACAGTCAGACAAAAATAATGAAAAAGGAATGAAAAGGATCAAACAAAACCTTTGAGAAATATGGGGTTATGGAAAGGCCAAATCTATGAAACCCCGGCATCCCTGAAAGGGACAGGGAGAAAGCAAACAACTTGGAAAGCATATTTTAGGATATCGTCCATGAAAACTTCCCCAGTGTTGTTAGGAAAGCTGACAGTCAAATTCAGGAAATAATAGAGAACCCCTGCAGGATTCTACATACGATCATCCCCATAATCATCAGATTTTCCAAGGTCAAAATGAAACAAAAAGTGTTAAAGGCAGCTGGAGAGAAAGGGCAGGTCAACTACAAAAGGAAGCTCACCAGGCTAAGAGTGGACCTCTCAGCAGAAACCCTAAAAGCCAGAAGACATTAGGGGCCTGTATTCAACATTATTAAAGAAAAAAATCTTCAACCAGAAATTTTATATCAAGCAAAGAATTTCATATCCAGCTTCCTCAGCAAAGGAGAAATAAAATCCTTTTCAGATAAGCAAATGCTGAGGGACTTTGTTATCACCAGACCCACCTTACAAGAGATCTTGAAAGGAGCACCAAATATGGAAAGAAAAGACCATTACCAGTCAATATAAACACACTTAAGTACACAGACCAGAAACACTATAAAGCAACCACACAAACAAGCTGGCATAATAACCATCTAGCAACACAATGATAGGATCAAATCCACACATATCTATCAATACTAACCTTGAAAGTAAGTAGGCTAAATGACCCATTTAAAAGGCACAGAGTGGTAAGCAGGATTAAAAAGCAAGACCCAACGGTATGCTGTCTTTAAGAAACCCCTCTCACATGCAATGCCACCCATAGGCTCAAAATCAAAAGATGGAGGAAAATCTACCAATCCAATGAAAATCAGAAAAAAAGCAAGGGCTGCAATCCTAATTTCAGACAAAACAGACTTTGAATCAACAAAGATAAAAAAAGACAAAGAAGAGCATTACATAATGGTAAAGGGTTCAATTAAACAAGAAGACCTAACTATCCTAAATATATATGCACCCAACACAGGAGTACCCAGATTCATAAAGCAAATTCTTAGAGACATACAAAGAGACTTAGACTCCCACACAATAGTAATGGGAGACTTCAGCACTCAACTAGCAGTATTAGACATATCATCAAGGCAGAAAATTAGCAAAGATATTCAGGACCTGAACTCAAAATTGGACCAAATGGATCTAATAGACCTCTACAGAACTCTCCATGTCACTCAAAACCATGCAATTACATGGCAATTAAACAACCTGCTCCCAAATGACTTTTGGGTAAATAATGAAATTAAGGCAGAAATCCATGGGTTATTTGAAACTCATAAGAATGCAACATACTAGAATCTCTGGCACATGGCTAAGGCAGTGTTAAGAGGGAAATTTTTAGCACTAAATGCCCACATCAAAACCTTAGAAGTATCTCACATGAACAACCTAACATTGCAACTAAGAGAACTAGGGAAGCAAGAGTGAATCAACCCCAAAGATAGCAGAAGACAAGAAATAACCAAAATCAGAGCTGAACTGAAGGGGATTGAAATATTAAAAAACCATTCAAAAGATCAATGAATCTAGGAGTTGCTCTTTGAAAAAATTAATAAGATAGGCTGCTAGCTAGAATAATAAATCAGAAAAGAGAGAAGATCCAAATAAACACAATTAGAAATGACAAAGGGAATGTTACCACTGACTTTACAGAAATACAAACAACCATCATAGACCACTAAGAACACCTCTATGCACACAAACTAGAAAACCCAGAAGAGATGGATAAATTCCTAGACACAGACACACTCCCAAGACTGAACCAGGAAGAATTTGTTCCCTGAACAGACCAATAATGAACTCCAAAATTGAATCAGTAATAAATAGCCTACCTACCAATCCATCCAGGACCAGATGGATTCACAGGTGAATTCTACCAGATGTACAAAGACAAGTTGGTATCATTTCTACTAAAACTATTCCCAAAAACTGCAGAAAACAAATTCCTCCCCAACTTATTCTATGAGGCCAGCATCATCCTGATACCAAAACCTAGCAGAGACACAACAAAAAAAAGAAAACTTCAGGCCAATATCTGTGATGAACATTGATGCAAAAATCCTCAACAAAATACTTGCAAACCAAATCCAGTAGCACATCAAAAAGCCAATTCACTGTGATCAAGTAAGATTTATCCCTGGGCTACAAGGTTGTTTCAACATATGCAAATCAATAAATGTGATTCATCACACAAACAGAACTAAAGACAAAAACCACATGATTATCTCAATAGATGCAGAAAAGGCTTTTGATAAAATTCAACATCCTTCATGAGAAAAACTCTCAATATGCTAGGTACTGAAGAACATATCTCAAAATAATAAGAACCATTTATGATAAACCCACACTAAACATCACACTGAATGGGCAAAAGCTGAAAGCATTCCCCTTGAAAACTGGCACAAGACAAGGATGCCCTCTCATCATTCATATTCAACATAGTATTGGAAGTCCTGGCCAGAGAAATCAGGCAAAGGAGAGAAACAAAGGCATTCAAATAGAAAGAGAGGGAGTCAAACTATCCCTGTTTGTAGACAGCATGATTCTATATCTAGAAAACCTCATAGTCTTAGCTCAAAAGCTCCTTCAGCTGATAAACAACTTCAGCAAAGTTTCAAGATAGAAAATCATCGTACAAAAATCACTAACATACCTATACACCAACAACAGCCAAGCCAAGGTCCAAATCAGGAATGAAATCCCATTCACCATTGCCACAAAAAGAACAAAATGTCGGGGAATACAGTTAATCAGGGAGGTGATTCTCTACAATGAGAATTACAAAACACTGCTCAAAGAAATCAGAGATGACACAAACAAATGGACAAACATTTCATGCTCATGGATAGAAAGAGTTAATATCATTAAAATGGCCATATTGCCCAAAGCCATTTACAGATCCAATGCTAATCCTACCAAACTACCAATGACATTCTTCACAGAACTAGAAAAAAACTATTTTAAAATACATATGGAACAAAAACAAAAACAACAAAAACCCAAATAGCAAATGCAGTTCTAAGCAAAAAAACAAAAACAAACAGACAAAAAAACACCAAAGCCAGAGGCATCATGTTACCCAATTTCAAACTATACTACAGGGCTACAGTAACCAAAACACTGTGGTACTGGTACTGGTACTGGTACAAAAACAGACATAGACCAGTGGAACAGAATAGAGAGTCCAGAAATAAGGCTGCATATCTATAACCATCTGATATTCGACCAAGCTGACAAAAACAAGCAATGGGGAAAGGACTTCCTATTCAACACACAGTGCTAGGAGAACTGGCTAGCCAGAAGATTGAAATTGGATCCCTTCCTTACACCATATACAAAAATCAACTCAAGATGGATTAAAGACTTAAATGCAAAACCCAAAACTACAAAAACCCTGGAAGACAACCTAGACAATACCATTCTGGACATAGGAACTGGCAAAGGTTTCATAATGAAGACACCAAAAGCAATTGCAACAAAAGCAAAAGTGACAAATGGGATCTAATTAATCTTAAAAGCTTCTGCAGATCAAAAGAAACTATCAACAGAGTAAACAGACAACCTACAGAATGGGAGAAAATATTTGCAAACTATGTATCTGACAAAGGTCTGATTTCCAACATCTATAAGAAACTTCAACAAATTTAGAAGAAAAAAGCAGCCCCATTAAAAAGTGTGAAAAGAACATGAACAGACACTTTTCAAAAGAAGACATACATGTGACCAACATATGGAAAAAAGCTCAATATCACCGATCATTAGAGAAATGCAAATTAAAACCACAATGAGATGCCATCTCACACCAGTCAGAATGGCTATTACTAAAAAGTAAAAAAAAAAAAAAAAGTGGACGCTGGTGAAGTTGTGGAGAAAAAAATGCTTATACACTGTTGGCGAAAGTGTAAATTAGTTCAACCATTGTAGAAAGCAGTGTGGCGATTCCTCAAAGAGCTAAAAATAGAACTACCATTCAACCCAGCAATCCCATTACTGGGTATATACCCAAAGGAATATAAATCATTCTACCATAAAGACACAGGCACTCGAATGTTCATTACAGCACTATTCAAATAGCCAGGATGTGGAATCAACCTAAATGCCCATCAATGGCAAATTGGATAAAGAAAATGTGGTGCATATACACCATGTACTATGCCATAAAAAGCAATGAGATCATGTCCTTTGCAGGAGCATGGATGGATCTGGAGGCCGTTATCCTTAGCAAACTAACACAGAAATAGAAAACCAAATACCACATGTTCTAACTTGTAAGTGGGAGCTAAATCATGAGAACACATGGACACATAGACAGGAATAACAGACACTGGGGCTGCCTTGAGGGTGGAGGGTGGGAGGAAGGAGAAGATCAGGAAAAATAACTATTGGGTACTAGGCTTAGTATCTGGGTGACAAAAATAATCTGTACAACAGACCCTCATGGCATGAGTTTACCTATAAAACAAACCTGCATATGTACCCCTAAACCTAAAATAAAAGTTAAAAAATAAAAATAAAAATGCTTGGACCTATCCCAGGTCTGCTGAATCTGGGTTTCTCAGGGAAGAGCCAAGTGTCTCTATTTAAATTTTTAAATGTTTAAAGTTTGTACATAATTTAAAAGTTACAGAAAAGATGCAATAATCATGCAAAAAAGTCATGAATAACCTTACCTAGATTACCAAAATGTTAACATTTTACTACACTTGTGTGCGTGCACTATTTCTCTCTTCATGTATTTATCATATGTGCACATATATAATATCTATGCATATTATATGTATATATTTATATTTGTGTATAAGCTTTTCTCTGAGCCATTTTGGAGAAAGTTACGGATATGATGCCTCTTTACTCTTAAATACCCTTGTTTCATAAAATAAGGGATTATCTTATAATGCACAGTGTGATTATCAAAATCAGGAAATTAACATCAATGCAATATTATTATTTAATTTTAAAACCTTATTAGATTTTGCCAGTGGTCCAACAATGCCTTTATCGGAAAAGTAAATTCAAAATCGTGTACTCCATTGCCCTGTCTTGTTAGCCTCTTCTAATCTGGAACGGTTCCTGAGACTTTGCTTAAATTTCATGACATTGGCACTTTTGAAGAGTACAGGTCACTGATTTTGCAAAATGTCCTTCAATTTGGGTTTGTGTGATGATTCCTTGTGATTGGATTCAAGCCATGCACTATGAGCAGTTGTACAACAGAAGTGAACGTGCATCCTTCTCTGAGCCTCAAATCAGGAGGCTCCTGCTGTTGATCCATTGTATCACTGGCAATGGTATCTCTTATCATTTGGTTAAGGTGGTTCCTGCCAGATTTCTCCACCATAAAGCTATTTTATGAGTTGCTTTGTAATTAATAAGTATCTTGAAGAAAGATGTTGAGATGATATAAGTCTCCTGGAATCCTGATGACATGCACCCACTGGCTTTGGCATTCCTTGAAGGAAAATCTCCACTTTTATTAAGGTTTTCAGGGGATTCTGGCAGCCCCTGCCTGGCTGGTCTGTGCAGCAGTTCTGGGAACCTCGGCACTCCCTGCACAGTGAGATTCCTGAGGCTTTGATCTGTCCCTCTGGGCAGATTGAGGAGCTTTGATCTGTCCCTCTGGGCAGATTGAGGAGCTTTGGTCTGTCCCTCTGGGCAGCCCCAGCATTTGGCCCACTGTCTGGTTCACAGCAGGGTCCAATGAATGAGTGAGGAAAAAGAGAGTCAGAGGCAACTGTGTGTTCCCTCTGGGGTTCTGTGTCATTATTGGTAAAACGAGGGTGATAACTAGTTACAATTTTGACATTTCATGATTGTATAAGTTTCCACGTCCCCCACTGAGGTGGTTAATTCCATTATACAATGCTTTCTTCCACATAGTAGACTGGGGTTATTTGTGTCATTGAAAAAAAATAAAAAGAAACCAAGATATATTCCACAGCTCAACACAAGCCATAGGATGTGAAGGTTGGAATGAGTTCGTTCAGATTCGTTCATTCAGCAGATATTCATTGCATGCCTTCGGTGCACCAGGTGCTGCCACAGAGGTTGGGAATCCACTGGTCACAGCGGATATGATCCAGCCCCATGGAGCGTGCAGCCCAGCAAGGCTAAGAACTGCCCCTTTTCTCTGTTCTAGTCTAGCAGTTGCTGATGAGCGAGGACAGATGCCCAGAAACAATACCTCACCGCTAATCCTGATGCAGATATGGCCCAGGCACCTCTCAGGAGATGAGCAAAGCTGTACGATGTCCAAAAAGGAGCTCCCAGGAAGAAAGCCATGTAATTCAGAGTTGCTTGTGAAATTTCTTATTAGCATTACTCATCTAAACTTATGTATTTTGTTGTGGAAAACACTTTTTGCATTGTTTTTAAAGTAATGAATCTGATCACTGTCCAGTTTTATTTCTCAAACCAGCCTGTAAGGCAAGAGCCAAGATAAATGCTTGATACTTTCTGACTCATAAGTAAAGTCAAGTCACTTACATACAGATGAACTTTCCAGAATAAAATTAGTGAGGTCATAATAGTGAGTTAATTACCACAGTGCTGGTGTGTACATTATAATTTAGACTAGTAAACTAATGTCCTGCAATAAACATCTTATGACAAATACAGTTTCCGAAAACAAACAAAATAGTGAGGAAATGCAATTTTCCATAACAAGAATACAAAGCAAATGTAACCTAAAGATTAAGGGTCACATTCCCGAACAGAGAGTAATAAGTCTTTTAGAATTTAAGAATGAATCTCCCAGGAGAACTTCTTGCAAACAAATTAGTCTCCTTTTAATTTGACAAGATACAGAATAAGAATTTGTCAAAATGGTTAGTGTTTATATCCTTAAGTGTCCCTGAGATGTTTGACTTCTTAATGTTCTCCACCTTCTTTTGTAACCTTGTAATAAGATGTATAAACCACCAACTCTGTGCTTTGTATTCTCAAGGTACTTGTGTTAAGATTTCCTCATTCTTTCAAAGTGTGTTGAAACTGTGGCCTCTGCCATCAATTATACTCTTAATCGAAGCTGACTATAAGAATATAGCACTTTGCAGTGAGCTGTGATTACACCACCGCACACCAGCCTGAGAGATGGAAGGAAACCCTGTCTCAAAAAAAAAAAAGAAAAGAAAAGAATAGAGCACTTACTGTTTTCTGTTTCTACATATCATATTTATTGACGTGTAGATATTCTACTTCTTAAGTCTTTAGTACTCTGTTGTTTTCCAGATCCGACCTATCAAACTACTTACTGTATTTCACACAAAGCTAATAGTAACTTAATGTGGGTCACTTCTTTCAGGGGTCCTTGCTTTTTTCTACTTCTGCCTCTTTACATGATTCCTTTGCCTTCTGGGTCTGAGTCAGTCTGTCGCATTCTTCAAGGATGTTTCTCTTTGTAGGCTTCCTCAGCCACTCCAGGTAGAAATAACCTTTCCAAGCATTATACTTGCACAATGACAACATCCTGTGCTAACATGTTGGTCTCTCCAGCTAGAATATTTGTTCCAAGATGGTAAATGTCCCAACTTCTTCATTTTTGTGTCTATGGTCCATGGTCCAATTCATGGCATGTAGGAAGTGTTTGGTAAAAGTTAGTTGAATAAATAGAACAGTCAGTGAATGAGGAAAAGAGATTCCAGGGGAAAATACTTGTCTGAGTCAGTGGTGATGGCCAATGACCAGGCACTGATGTGTGCTGGGAGGATATATTGTGTGTGTATGGTGAGAATTAGTGGGGATGGAAGGTGCCGGGCTCCTCCGTCAGAGGCATTCAAACCAGAGCGACTCCATCTTGAATAGGAGCTGGATAAAATAAGGCTTAGATGTGCTGGGCTGCATTCCCAGATGGTTAAGGCATTCTAAGTCGCAGGATGAGATAGGTCAGCACAAGACACAGGTCATAAAGACTTGCTGATAAAACAGTTGTCGTAAAGAAGCCAGCTAACACCTACCGAAACCAAGACAGTGATGAAAGTGACCTCTGGTCGTCCTCACTGCTACACTCCCATCAGCACCATGACAGTTTGCAAATGCCATGGCAACATCAGGAAGTTACCCTATATGATCTAAAAAGGGGAGGCATGAATAATCCACCCTTGTTTAGCATATCATGAAGAAATAACCATAAAATGGGCAACCAGCAGCCCCTGGGACTGCTCGGCCTATGGCATAGCCATTCTTTTATTCCTTTACTTTCCTAATAAACTTGCTTTCACTTTGCTCTATGGACTTGCCCAGAATTCCTTCTTGTGCGAGATCCAGGAACCCTCTCTTGGGGTCTGGATCCGGACCACTTTCCCGTAACACCTCCAGCTCCCCAGCAGCCCTGCTCCCTTGCCTTAGAGGTAGGGTTCTTTCCACTGTGTTGTTTGAAACAGGAGCTTTCTGGAGGTGTCTTCTCCTGGGTGAAAGAATGCAGATTGTTCCTTTCTTGGTTCCTTGATGTTTCCTGAGAACACTCCCATGTCCTCAGCAGAAATCCCCCCAAAATTCAAAGAATGATTAAACCTACACCATGGAATCAGAAATCTCTTATAAATGCCAATGTGATATTTAATTAAATCTGACAGGTGGGGTCCATGAACTCATCCTCCTTTCCATCTGAAACTCCTCTTAAAAGACAGGAAACATCTATGAACTTTCAAATACAAAGAATGCCAGAGTGGAGATAGCAGTATTCAGACACATCTTCAGAAAAAGCAGCTAGCAGAGAGGTAACTGGTTTAACAGAGGAAAGGAACTTACAAAATAGTGCCCACAGAGGAGGAGCTGGGAGGAGCCAGTCAGACCCATGTCTGAGACCCCTGTCAATGACACTTAGAATATGTGAGATAACACGGGAACCATCAGCGCAGATCACTTTTGTGTTCTCAGGTAATTGTCTGGATTTAATTAATTAATTAATTAATTAATTTTTAGGGAACAAATTATCCAGCTGCCCTAGAACCTACCTTGTCTAGTTAAGAGAGTAATACCCTGCTTGCTGCACTGCTTGCATTTAGAGTTTCACGTTTCTCCCCTGCACGCTATTTAGTCTCCCCAACATGGCTTCCTGTGCAGTTTTTATCATCTGATCCTCCGGACATCATGGTGAGGTCGACAGGGAGGTGAGGAAATGGGCTCAGGAAGGTCAACCTTTCTGGCCAACCTGGCCCACAAGCCCCCTTTTTCAAATCTTTGAAGCACAAGCAATGTGGGCTTTTCTGTCCCGAGTTTCTTGCCTCTTCTGAGATGTCAGTGTAGGGGTGGGGATTTGCATTCACAGCAGGCTGAGCACTTACCACGGGGGACCCCCCCACCCCCCAGTAGGTCAGGAGTCCTAAGTGGAGGACCCAGCCAGGGAGACAGATTCATCTTCAAAGAGCCGCCCTCTGATAGAGGGGCCTCGGGGGCCACCCGGACGAGCCTTCCTCTGCAGGGTGAGCTGCCATGTTGTGGAAAGGGACTTTGGCTGCCTGAGGTTGAGTGGGCAGCCTCAGTTAGTAGCAGAACCCCGATGAGTTCTGAACCCCTGGGAAAAATCTCTTTCTAAACTCCCTTATTTCTTCATCCCAACGCCTACCTGAGGGTGGCCCTAAGGATAAAATGTCCCTTCTTGGCTGAGTGTCCTCAAAACTTTTGGACAGTGATGGCTCCCTTAATCCAACCTACCTGTCAGGCCAAGTTCTAACAACTCCTAATCACTCATCCTTCCAAAAGGGCACAGTACAAAGAATGTCATAATAAAATGACCTACGCTTATTTCTCCATACTTTGGACTTTGTAGAGATAAGTCTCCACTCATGGAGGCACTGAAAGGGAAGGGGCCTTCTTTGTTCCACTTGATTAGTGCTGAGAATTCCAGGACCAAGTGCTCATTGGAAATGATGATGTCCTTGTATTGTGGCTTCTGGCCCTATGATATGAGGATTGGCCCTTGCTCGCTCCAACTCAAAAGCAAGGGCACTTAGCTTCTCAGTCTGTTTGGGAAGAAGTTCTGGTATTAAGTCAACTGACGGAAGAAGACGGAGCTTGGATTGGTTGCTGCAAGGAGTGTCCAAAATAATGAATACAGGCAAGTGGATTTCTGCATCAAATGAGCAGCTTCTTAAACCAAGGAGCTCTGTCCTCTGCTCCCAGATCCCCAAGCATGTGTGGTATGATGTTGCAGGCCACCTAAGGGGCAGAAGTTCTTTTTTTCAGAGGCATGTAGGAGGGGTACAAGAGAATACCCCACTCCCCGACTAGCCTGGCAGTCAGATGGGAATGCACTGATGTGCATCTCTTTAAGAACATTTGAAAGGCAAACATTTTCCAAACGTATCCTTTTCCATCTTCTTGTTTGTTTAGGAAAGCAGTTGTGATAGTTAAATTGTATGTATCAACTTGGCTAGACTGTGGTGCCCAGTTGTTTGGTCAAACCCTAGTCCTTAGTCTAGGTGTTGCAGTAAAAGCATTTTTGTAGATGTGATTAACATGTATAATAAGTTGACTTTAAGCAAAGGAGATGACCCTCCACCATGTGGGTGGGCCTCATTTGATCAGTTGAAGGGCGTAAGAGCAAAAACTGAGATTTCCAGGGAAGGAGGAATTTTGGCTCAAGACTGAAACATAGGAATTCTGCCTGTGTTTCCAGCCTGCCAGACTGCCCCAGAAACTTCAGACTCAAGTTTGTGACATCAGCTCTTACCTGAGTTTCCAGCTGCTGGCCGGCCCTAAGGTTTCAGACTTGCCAGCTGCAGCAATCATGGGAGCCAATTTCCTAAAATAAATCTCTTAACATAAATATCTTATTGGTTCTGTTTCTCTGGAGAACCCAGACTGACACAGGGGCTGCGGCAGACACATACCTTCAGCAATATCTAAAGGGAGGGCTGCTCCGGGGACAGTGGACCAAAGGAAACACCCTTGTTGGCTGTAAAGTCTGAATGGGGCTGTTCTGCTTCACCAGGTTCTATGACAGAAAATGAACTCAAATCCCAGGCTTCAGGCAAAGGGTGGTAACTACAGCAGCAAACATGTCTGGCAGTGCGCAAATACGTTAAGTATATTGTCTCATGTCATTAAAAAAAAGACTTTATTTTTTAAAGCAGTTTTAGATTTACAGGAAAATTGATCGGAAAGTACACAGCTCCCATATACCAAACCCCCTGCCTCCATTTTTCCTTGAGATTAACACCCTGCATGAGTGTGCTACATTTATTGCAAACAATGAACCAAGCTTGAAAATTACTTTTAACAAAAGTCCAAGTTTATGTGAGTGTTTATTCCCTGTGTTGTATGGTTCTAGGGGTTTTGACAATGGCATTAATACAGTATCACGCAGAATACTTTTCCTGGCCTAAAACTCCCTGCTGCTCCACCTGTTCATTTCTCTCCCCTATTTATTTAATTTTCAAAACAATATTATGAGGTGAAATTTAAAAAATTCTTTAATTTATAAAATTGATACAATAATTGTATTTATGGAGTACATAGTAATGTTTTGAAACATGTATAGTGATGAAATAGAATAATTAGCATATCCATCATCTCAAACATTTATCATTTCTTTGTGTTGGGAATAGTCAAAGTCCTCTTTTCTAGCTATTTGAAGATATATAACAGGCTGGGCACGGTGGCTCATGCCTGTAATCCCAGCAGTTTGAGAGGCTGAGGTGGGTGGATCACTTGAGGCCAGGAGTTTAAGATCAACCTGGCCAACATGGCGAAACCCCATCTCTACTAAAAACACACAAAAAAATTAGCCAAGTGTGGTGGTGCACACCTGTAATCCCAGCTACTCGAGAGGCTGAGGTGGGAGAATCACTTGAACCTGGGAAGCAGAGATTGCATTGAGCCGAGATCGCGCCACTGCACTCCAGGCTGGGCAACAGAGCAAGACTCTGTCTCAAATATATGTATATGTGTATATATATATACACACACATATATACATATATACACACATATATACATATATGTATACATACACATATACGTATACATGTATACATACACATATACGTATACATGTATACATATATACGTATATGTGTATATGTATATATACACACATATATACATATATACACATATATACATATATACACATATATACATATATACGCATATATACATATATACGCATATATACACATATATGTTTTATATATATATATATAAAACAAATTATTGTTAACTATAGTCAGCCTACAGTGCTATGGAATATTAGAACTTATTCTTCCTAGCTAGCTGCAATTTTATATCATTTAACCAATCTCTCCCTAGTCCTGCCTCCCTGCTACCTTTCCCAGCCTCTAGTGTCCATTTACAGGTGAATAGATAAAGAAAATGCAGTGTGCATACATAGTGGAATACTACTCAGCCACAAAAAGTATGAGATCCTGTCATTCACAGCAAAATGGATGAACCTGGAGACATTACTTTAAGTGAAATGAGTCAGGCATAGGAAGATAAATACCACATCTTCTCACTTATATGTGGAGGCTAAAAAAGTTGATCTCATAGAAGCAGAGAGTAGAACACTTACCAGAGGTGGAACTTTATAGGCGTTGTTACAACCAAGACTCAGATTGCTCCGCTTCCCAGGTTCACACTATTCTCCTGCTTCAGCCTCCCAAGTAGCTGGGATTACAGGTGCCCACCACAATGCCCGGCTAATTTTTTCTATTTTTTAGTAGAGACAGGGTTTCACCGTGTTAGCCAGGATGGTCTCGATCTCCTGACCTCGTGATCCGCCCGCCTCAGCCTCCCAAAGTGCTGGGATTACAGGCTTGAGCCACTGCTCCCGGCCCTGGATTCACCTTTTAATAATGACAAGAAGGGGCAGGAAGATGGTTCCAAGGAAAGGCAGCACCCAGCAGTCCCTTCTTCCACTTTAAGCTCCACAGACTTCTAACTGCTGAGGTGGAAAGGAGGCATGGCTATGATTGGCAGTGCCCACAGTGCCCAGTCCTGGATGGTGGAGGCAGGGGGTGAAAGCAGGGAGCAAGAGGCAGGGCTGGGCCAGGTGGAGTGGGTGATCCTCCACTCTGAGGCCTGCAGGCCAGGGCGAACATGCCACACTGCAGCCTTTCCCGGCTCCTGGCACATTGTCCCCATTCTCCAAGGCTCCCTGTTGCCCTCACTGAAAATGAGACCTCACTTACCTGTGGATGGCTGGTTAGGAACCTGACATCCTGGAGAGCTGTTGCCTTCCTCTGGGGAGCAGAAGGCTGACTCCTCAGAGGCCTCTAGGTCCCTATTCCAACCTGAAAGAAGCCTCAGGGAGGTACACAGTCCCCTGCAGTAAACCTGACCTCAAGGGTTACACCTTCTTGGCCATCAGTTCCAGACCACACCCAGCCTGGGTCACTCTCTACCCCTTCACCAGGGCTGACCCCCAGCCCTGTCTTCCTCATTGCCCTAGAGCCTTCTGAGGAGGCCTCATATATGTGAGGTTGTGTGAACAGGAACCACCAGAGTGGCTGGGAGTTCAGTGAGGGCAGGGGTGTGTCTTCCCTGTCCCCATAATTTATACCGCAGAGTGCAGAGGCCCCTGATGACAAGATGCAGGAACTTTTAAAAGCCATCTGAGGAACTTCTAAAAAGATCCGTGCCTTCTGCTTCACCTCCCCTCCAATTGGAGGTGAGGATTCCCGAGGTGAGGGCAGGATGGCTGGGCGTCAGTATTATGAAAATGTCCCCCAGGCCCAGGGCTGGGCCCACTGCTGTGGGGGGCAGCTCAGCAGAGCTGTGCGGCTGTCCATGACATGGGAGACCCTCCCTAGGGGTGGCACAGGGAGGTTGTCTTGGGGAGAGGACAGGCACCCTGATATTTGAACTGGGACCTTCCCTTCTCCTTTCTTTCCCTGCCTCATGCGGTGGAGGGCAGGGACCCAGCCTGGAGGGTTTGGGGATGAGGTCATGGTCAAGGAGAGCTCTGGGCGCTGGGCTCGGGCTGCCTGGCCAGACTCAGGTGGGTGGGGCAGGAGCTGGAGTTGGCCTAGTTGTTCCAGGAGAGTCTGTTTTTCTAAAGGAAAAAGAATCATGCTAACGAGCCTGGCGCCCTCCTGAACGTCTCTAACAGGCCCCGTTCTGACTGGGAACTCTGGCTGTGCGCCCTCTGCTTCAGCCTAGGGCCAAGGAGGTCCCCTAAGAGAGGACTCTAGGCAGCTCAGCCTGCCTCATCAACCCAGGCAGGGCTCAGGGGTTGCCTTGGCGGCACTTCCCGAAGCAGACCCCATCCCGCCGTCATCCTGCACCTTCACTCATCCCGGGTCTCCTGCCACCTGCGTCATGGCACAGGGAGGCGGTTGCCCTTTGTTACAGGATGAAAGCTTCGAAGTCTCCACTCATTTGCTCACCTCGCTTCTCATTTGCAGAGCTCTGAGCTTGGCTGGGGTAGAGCACACCCAGGCTCTGACACAGTGGGAAACAAGCTTGGTGTTCAGTTTTGGCTGTGACACTGTCTTCCAGAGAATAATCCGGGCTACGAATTCTCTGGCAGGAACATGAAGTCCATCTGGCTGAGGGGTCTTTGCCCTGACACTCTCAGATGTGGTGCCCTGGTGTTCTGTTCCCATTGCTCAAAGCTGGACCCTGCAGCTTCCAGCCAAGGGCACCAGCATAAACCATTGTGTGTGGGTTCCACGTGGGGGCTTTCAGCCGGGGCTGTTTTGCTCAGGAGGCGATGTCTGCCTAGGTCTGGAGTCCAACAAGGCAAGCTCACTGAGGGCCCAGGGAAATTCCTGGGCAAAAACTCCTCTTAGGGAAAGAGAGATGAGGGGAAACAGCCTGGGTTGGTGACAACAGGCCCTGTGGGGGCCTGGGCTGTACTGACCACAGCTTGGTGTGTATCACCCAGTGTCCATGCAGACCTGCCCTCAGCCTACACCCCGTCCATTCCGCGGTGGGCACCAGGAACCTTGGCAGGGCATCAGGCTGGCAGCCAGGGAGCATGGCAACCTGGTGGACATGGTGGCAGCAGCAGCGCCTGGGGCTGACATCAGTTGCCTCTTTTACTGGGGAGAGGAGTAGAGAAAAGAAAAATGGTGGGTGTGGCACCTGACACGGAGACTCCTATGGTCTGGAAGGATGTGAGGTGCTGCCTAGAGCAAGCAAGCACGCAGCCGGAGAAGGACAGTGCTCACACTGCAACCACCCGGCCCAGCACGGTGTGAAAGCACAAGCACCTACAGGACAGTCCTTAGACACACGAGACACTTCCCAGGGCTGCTCCCAGGAGTGCAGGAACCTCCCACCACCACAGCACCAGCTCATCCTTCGACTTTCCTGCTTACCAGAAGCTGGGCATCTGGCTGTTTTGAGCAGGCCCAGCACGGCCTTTGCATGCTTGGGAGGAAACCTCGCCTCGCAGAACTGCACAACAGGTGCATGCCGTGTGGTAGGATTTGGAGAGTTTCAGGATAGTTCAGCTTGGCCGTTTTCCTCCACGTGGGTTTGACAGTGTCTGGAACTCTGCCAGGAGGAATGCCCCATTGGCACAGCCCTCTTCTAACTCCAAGAAGGGGATACTCCTGGATCACAGCTTTCCATAAATAGTTAGGTATTGTTCACACCAGGATGTGTGATCTCCTGGAAGAGGGTTTAAAGGCTCTTGCTCCTGGGGGCTGCCTTCCACTGCAGCTTAGGGAGGACGTCTCACAACTCCTTACGCCTTCATTTTTAGTACAGTGACCTTGGCTTTGCAGATGCTTACATTTTTTGTTCGTTTTTTTTTTTTTTTTTTTTTTTTTTGAGACGGAGTCTCGCTCTGTCGCCCAGGCTGGAGTGCAGTGGCGCGATCTCGGCTTACTGCAAGCTCCGCCTCCCGGGTTCACGCCATTCTCCTGCCTCAGCCTCCCGCGTAGCTGGGACTACAGGCGCCCGCCACCACGCCCGGCTACTTTTTTGTATTTTTTAGTAGAGACGGGGTTTCACTGTGTTAGCCAGGATGGTCTCGATCTCCTGACCTCGTGATCCGCCCGCCTCGGCCTCCCAAAGTGCTGGGATTACAGGCGTGAGCCACCGCGCCCGGTTTTTGTTCGTTTTTTAAAAGAGCTACCTGGGTTAGGTGTGTGTAGAAGGTTAGTTAACATTATCTGAGCTGATACTTACCATATGCTAATATATAATATGGCTCCTAATGCTATTAAAGTGCTGACTTCTGAGACCAGATTTGCTCCCTGTCAGCAGAAACTCTTTCTCGCTCATGGCTGGCCTCTGCGTTTTCAGCCCCAGGGCTGAACTGACACATTTTGTTGAGTGAGTGTAACCCACAGGTATGAGTAAGTAACATATGAAATCTCAAAGGTCCAACAAGACAATCACTTAGCAAGTGGATGGTATGCCTTTTTTGTTGTTGTTTTTGTTTTGTTTTGAGATGGAGTCTCTCCCTGTGGCCTAGACTGGAGTGGCATGATCTGAGTTCACTGCAACCTCTGCCTTTCAGGTTCGAGCGATTCTCCTGCTTCAGCCTCCCGAGTAGCTGGGACTACAGGCGTGCACCACCACGCCCGGCTAATTTTTTTTGTATTTTTAGTAGAGACAGGGTTTTGCCATGTTGGCCAGGCTGGTCTAAAACTCTTGACCTCTGGTGATCTGCCAGCCTCGGCCTCTCAAAGTGCTGGGATTACAGGCACGAGCCACTGCGCCTGGCCTAAGTAGATGGGTTTTAATCCCAGACATAGGAAAGACAGGACGCAACCTGGGGAAAAGAAGGGTGAGGATTAGGGACTTCATCCAGCCTCAGCATGAAGGACTCGACTTTCCCTATCCAAACCCAGGAAGAGCTAAACCCTCCATCCGTAGCTCTAGAGGCCTTAGTGAGCATCTGGCATTCTGCTGAGTGTGTTTGACTTGGGGAGGGTTCCATCTCCAGCAATTCTTGCAGCTGATAAATTTTTACAGCAGAAAGTACTTGATCATCAGCAGGAAGTTGATGAAGACTGTGTACTTGAGGCCGAGAGATTTTTGTGTGTTTCAAAACGGAAAGGTGAGAATTTGTAGATAAAGAAATTGAGCTCTATCTGAAGCTGGGATAGGAGGTTTGATGCCTGGAATTGAGCAGGCCAGTGTGGATCTGATCGAGGACAGACAGAATCAGGATGTGGAGTTTGGTAGAAGAGCCTGAACTTGAGCAAGACCAGGCCAGAGGTGGCAGTGTCCAAACCACACTATGGATGTATCTGTATGTTTTGTGTAATTTTTCGTATGCAACTGTGTTTCATTTGTTTTTTAATCCCTTGGCCTGTGTCCACTACCCATTAATTAGAGGCTAACACATACTTTGTCTTCTAATGGCTATTACTAGATTTGGTTTCTCACTTACAAAATAACTTCCTCCAGTCCTTAGGTCTCAACTTTTTCTTCTTTTTGGTTGGGATTTGGGGATTGGCAATGACAAATCTTTCATACTTTTTGTGGGGTGTTTATGGGCTTCTTGAAGTCTTAGGCACTGAGAAAACATGCAAAGATTGCTCTGTCTCCTCCAACCCAATTTTTCAATTTACCCCACCCCTAATTGTTGTGTTCATCTTCCTAGTATTTTGGGACTGTATGAACAGCAGATGTGAACCTACTTTTCAGGTGGAGAAAGCAAGACACAGAGCTGTTCAGACAATCAGAGTTAATAATGTGTTTGAAAGAGTTTTGTCTTCTAAAATCTACATAAATATGAACTACTGCTTCTGTTGGAAGAATTTAGAAGTTGCTGTGTTCTTGATGGGTCTGCAGAGAAGTGGGAAGCAGGGACCACAGATGCATTTGGTTGCTCTGTGAGCTGATCTTCTAGAGCATATGTATATATTTTTTATCTCTAAGGCATCATCCTTTCTTCCCAGAAATTCTTTCAACAAGTTGTGTGTGTCATGCAGGAGATATCAATAATCATTCCTTTGGTTGTACCACCTGTAGGTAAAAGCTTGATGTAGGTGGTATTTTGGGATCTGGTAATTTATGGGTTTTTGTTCAATTTAGAGAAGACATTCAAACTTTCAGGCCTGCATTGTCAGCATATAATATGGTCCTACTCTGAGATGATTCTCAAATTTTAGACAAAGTCAGAAGGTCATTCTCTAAAAGTCACTAAGAAAAGTCAACATAATGAATGAACTTAGACCATCTGCAGAAGGTTCCTACCTAAAGAAGTGATTTGTTAATGTATCACCAACAGAGACTTGGAAAACACATAAGTTTGCTTGTTGTAACAAGACATGGCTTCAGGAAGACAGGTTAAGAATGTTGACCTAACAGAAGATGATAACACAGGTGATGGTTTTGTAACTTGCCTATCAGAAAACGATGTTGTTAGTGGTGATTTATTTAAAAAGGAGTAAAAGAGTATGGACATTTGTGTTTATTTAATAGCATATGAAGTATAGATGGAAGCCTCAAGATTTTTCATTGTTGCTTTGGTTTTGTTTTTACTTTTTTATTTTGAAATGATTTTCAGATTTACAGAAAAGTTGCAAGAATAGTACAAAGAATTTCCATATACCTTTACTTAGATCCCCTAAATGTTAACATTTTGCCACATTTGTTTTCTTTCTTTCTCTGTCCCCGTGTGTGTGTGTGTGTGTGTGTGTGTGTGTGTGTGTGTGTGTGTGTGCTGTATTTCCATAACAAACATCTAGTTTTACTTAAGTTGTTTATTGGCTGGGGGAGGCAGTGTGAAGTGGGGTGGTGGGTGGTGGGGGGTATGCTGATGGAATTTCTGGGAAGGAGCATTAATGTCTCTTGAAATTTATTGCTTTGTCTCATTATTTACAAGTATTTTATCATTTTGCAAAGAAGTAATCTGACATCTTGCTTGCTATGGACTCTAAGATTTATCAGTTAAAGCATGGTTGCTGTCATTGGAAAGGAAATACTGTGGTAGTCTGTGGCTTTAAAACTGTTGGTGTTTTTGGAGATACCTAAAAAGAGGAATGTAGAGATTGTTTTGAGCTTTAGTGTAGTAAGCTCAATGTTGCAGGCTTTAGCTCTTTGGGTTTTTCTGAAACGGGAATCTTTTCTGAGGATGATGCTTATAGGTGCTCCTCTAGGAGGGAGGCTGAGCCTGTGAGGAGGGGAGGGATGGAGGTGCTTGCAAGGCAGCGTCACCTCTCACATCATGGAACCAGTCCTGGTCGTAGAATCACAAAAGCAAAGGCCAAGTCAAAAAATGTCAGTGTTCTGAACAAATTCCCATATTATAAAGAGTGTAAAGCTTAATACTTTCAGCCTGGCACTTTAAGCCTCAACAAATAGTACTTGGGTATGTGATTATTATGATTTTAAACATAAAAAATTATCTTTCTAAGGGTATTTACTTTTTTGTGTGCTTTAGAGGCTCTCCCAGTTAACATCAGCATGATGAATCACTCATTTTATGTTGTTTTACAAAGTCTCTCCTGATTTAATGCAAAGGGGCTAATTTTTTGAGAGAGAAAAGAAATTAAGAGTCATATGAATTCATACAGGAAAAGAACCACCTTTGACTTTTTAAGATGGAAAACATGAAAAAATGAGAATGGCTTTGAAAACAATTTATAAGATGAACTAGTTTTCTAAGGGCATGGATAACTAGAGGAGCCCTGGGGAGAGAGAAAAGGGAGCAAAGGGAACGTGAGGGGTGGCTCATCTGTCATTGATGAGGGGCCAAGTGATACAGAAAAGGAAATGAGACCCAGGAGAGAGGGACACAAATTGATTGGCAGAAGCTGAATGTTTTTCCTTTGCTAGACTTTTATCCAATATTGAACAAATTATTGCATTTAGCTCACCAGGTTGCCACAGTCTTTCAATACATCAGACCAGCACAGTACTTATTACTTTATAGCAATAGCAATGATATAAAAATGAAAAATATTGCTTGAAAATGTCAAAGAGATTTTTCTTTTGGTGGTGGTGGTTGGGTAATTCAGACCATTCATTCCATTGAAAACAAGCATCCCAAATTTGAATAACTCTTAAAAAATTCCTCAAAAGTAGCAGAGCTAATAAGATAACGAGGAATTATTGGGTTAAAATTCAGAATATGAAATTCCTGGCCAGGAGCAGTGGCTCACATTTGTAATCCCAGCATTTTGGAAGGCTGAGTTGGGCAGATTGCTTGAGCCCAGGAGTTCAAGATCAGCAGGGGCAACGTAATGAAAACTCATCTCTATATAAAATACAAAAAATTAGCCAGGTGTGATAGCACATGCCTGTAGTCCCAGCTACTCGAGAAGCTGAGGTGGGAGGATCACTTGAGCCTGGGATGTTGAGGCTGCAGTGAGCCATGATCATGCCACTCGTCACTGCACTCCAGCCTGGGTGGACAGAGTGAGACCCTGTCTCAAAACAAACAAACAAACAAACAAACAAACAAAAAGTCCTGAGATGGCCTTGGCATTTGGGATTGCTTTTAACCACAAAGCAAGTGAAAATCTGAAAGACATGGTTAAGAGAGTAAGCAGCACTTTCTTTAGCCCTCTGAAAGAGGAAAGACATGAAGTTGGAACACACGACTCACCAAGATAACCTTCCCATGTTTTTGTGTGAGATTAAGCAAAGCTGCACCCTATAGATAAGGGTGAAATGGAAATAAAACAGGTCTTCCACGAATTGCGTGTGGCCCAGCTATATATCATCTGGGTGATGAAGAATATCTCAAGTAGTGAAACTGGAATAAACAATAATGAATTGATAGTGCCTTCAGGACCTGGTAGAAGCAAATGAAAATTAAATCTGCAGAAAATAACATCATCTGAGGCTTCCACAAGTAAATTGCTTCAACAAATAATTTAAAATATATAATGTCAAGCACACAGTAGAATAAAACAAAATAAAATTAGACACAAGAAGGTGTACCTGAGAAAGACCCAAGGGAAAAAAATAACAGAAACACAGTCAGAAGTATACCAAATATAGGAATTATCAGAAAGAGATGGTAAAGCAATTGCACTTACCATTTTAAAGCAGAAAAAAAGTAAGCTTGAAATTTTTGGCAGAATATTGGAAACTACAAAAAGTAACATAGTAGATTTAAGAACCAAGGAGCACTCTAGAATCTAAAAATATAACAACTCAATTAATAACTCAATGTATAGATTAAATGGTAGATTAGATAAAGTTGAAGAGAATATTAGTAAACTGGAAGACTGTTCAGAGGAAAATATAAAAATGACACATAAAAGCAAAAGGTAATCAGAAAACCTAAGACACATAGAAGATGTAATTAAAAGCTTTAAATATATGTCCAACTGAATGCCATGAAGGAGCTGAGTCTCAGAGTTGCACAAGTAATGTGTGATAAAAATAATGGCTGAGAAGTTTTCTAAAAAACATCAATTTCTAGATTTAAAAAGCCCAAGGAATTCTAGTCAGGATAAATAAAAAGTATATATTATAGTGAAATTGTAGACAATTAAACCCTTAAAGACACCAGAGAGAGAGAAAGAAAGATTACTTTTAAAAGGCACAATAATTAAACTGATAGCTGAGTTATAAAGAGTAATAATAAAAATCAGAAGATAGTAGAATCTCTTCAATATACTGAAAGAAAATAACTAACATAGGCCATCATTCCCAGTAAAAATATCCTTCAAGTATGAAGATGAAATAAAAACATTTTCAGACAAACAAAAACAGAGAAAGTTTGTTACCAGCAGACCTGCTGTAAAGGAAATATTAAAGTGAGTTCTTCAAGCAGATAGAAAATAATCCAAGATGGAAGGTTAGGGATGCAGAAGAAATGAAGAGCAAAAAAAGGATAAATATATGAGTAAATCTAAATGAACATTGAGTTTATTTATTTATTGACATTGTTCCCTTTCCAACTTTTATTTTAGGTTTAGGGGATACATGTGCAGGTTTGTTACATGGGTAAGTTGTGCGTTGTGAGGGTTTGGTATATAAATAATGTTGTCACCCATTTAATCAGCATAGTACCCAATAGGTAGTTTTTCAGTCCTCACCCTCCTCTCACTCTCCACCCTCAAGTAGGCTCTGGTGTCTATTGTTCCCTTCTTTGCGTCCACGTGTACTCAGTGTTTAGCTTCCACTTGTAAGTGAGGACATGCAGTATTTGGTTTTCTGTTCCTGCATTAATTCTCTGAGGATAATGGCCTCTAGCTCTAGCTATGTTGTTGCAAAAGACATGATTTTGTTCTTTTTTATGGCTGGGTAGTATTCCACAATGTATATGTACCACATTTTCTTTTTCAAGTCCACTGTTGATGGACATCTAGATTGATTCCATGTCTTTGCTATTGTGAATAGTGCTGAGATGAACATACATGTGCATGTGTCTTTATGATAGAATGATTTTTATTCCTTTGGGTATGCACCCAGTAATGGGATTGCTGGATTGAATGGTAGTTCTACTTTAAGTCCTTTGAGAAATATCCAGACTGCTTTCCACGTGGCTGAACTAATTTACATTCCCACCAGCAGTGTATAAGCACTCCCTTTCCTCAGCAACCTTGCCAGCATCTGTTACTTTTTGACTTTTTAATAATAGCTATTCTGACTGGTGATAGATGGTATATCACTGTGGTTTGGATTTTCATTTATCTAATAATTAGTGATATTGAGCATGTTTTCTTATGCTTGTTGGCCACATTGAACATCAAGTTTATAAAACAATAATAATTAATGTCTTGTGGGATGTGTGTCTGCATGCTGTTATTATCTTTTGACATATGACAACAAAATCCTTTAAGTTGGGAGGAGGCCAAAAGGATTTTAAGTATTCTAAGGTCTTTGTATTGTCAAACAAGAGGGTAAAAGTACCAATTATTACTAGACTTTGATAAGTGAAGGAATTATGTTGTAATTTCCAAAGCAACCACTAAAAGCATAAGAAAGATATAACATTTTCACATAAAGATAGAGGAAAAATGGAATGATAAAAAAATAAGCAGTTCAAAAGAAGGCAAGAAAAGAGAGAAAAAGAACACCAAGCAGGTGGAATAAAGAGAAAGCATATTATAAAATAGTACATTTATGGCCAAATATATCAGTAGTCATATCAATATAAATAGACTAAATGCTCTAATTAAAAAACAAAAATGTTTGGACTTGATTAAAAATAAAACCAAATGATATTCTGTTTTCAAGACACAAATTAAAATGTAAGACTAAAAATGTTTGAAAATAAAAGATTATGAAAAATTATACAACCAGTAGCCAAAAGAAAACTGGTAAAGCTATATTAACATCAGAGAAAATTGACCTTAAGGCAAAATAAATTACCAAAGATGGAGTCACTTCTTGCTGATTATGAATTCGGCCCATCAAGGTGCTACAATAATTTAAAGTTTGTATGCATCTAATACTATGACCACAAAATATTTAAAGAAAAAGTGATGGAATAGGAAGGACATATGGATGAATTCACAATTGTGCTAGAATTTTGCAATGGCCCTCTCTCAGTAATAAAACTAGCAGACAACAAAAAAATTCTGTAACCCTATAAAATATTTGAAAAACATGACTTAAAACCTCCTGATCTAATGGATGTACAGTTTTCCCTGGGTATCTGTGAAAGATTGGTTCCAGAATCCCTGCTTACATCCAAATCTGAAAATGCTCAAGTCTGTTATATAAAATGGCATAGTATTTGCATAGAACCTATGCACATCCTCATGTATACTTTAAATCATCTCTAGATTACTTATAATAAATAATATAATGCCCACGAAGCACTCCATCTGCATGGATTCAAATTTTGCTTTTTGGAACTTTGGGAAATTTTTTTTTAATCAGAAAAGGTCTTTGGAATTTTTATCTCTGAGTATTTTCAACTTGCAGTTGGTTGAATCTGCAGATGTGGAACCCAGGAATATAGAGGACTGGCTGTATGCCTGTAAATAAAACACAGCAAGAAACAATAAGAGAATACACTTACTTTTCAAGTATACAGTGAAAAGCCATAAAAATTTACCATATAGTGGGCTACAAAGCAAGTCTCAACAATTTTAAAAGATTAAAAATAGGATATGTGATGGGACCGCAGTTCAATAACAAAAATATAACTGGAAAATCCCCCTAGGTTTAAAAACTAAAAAAGAAAAAAGAAAAAAGAAAAAACTATATAAATATATATACTTTCTAATATATACATTCTCTATATATAAATCTCTATAAATATATATTTCTAAAACATAATTTTATATTATATACATGTTATATATATATTTGAAAATATATGTATATTTTCAAAGTATCTGGGATTAAAAAAAAACACTGAATGAAATAAGTATTCATCTTTTAGTAACTAGAAAGAGAACACCAAAATGAATGCAAATAAATTAGAAGGAAGGAAATAATAAAAACAAGGTCAGAAAATAATGAAATAAAACACCCATAGAATAGAGAACACCAACAAAGCCAAACGTTGTTTTTTGGGAAGCTAACTAAAATAGAGAAATCATTGGTAAGACTGATGAATAAAAACGGAAAGAAGGCACAAATAGCCAATCTTGAGAATGAACAAAGGGGACAGATCCAACGTGGTTTAAATAAGAGGGAGCTAGGGGGTGATGAAGGGAAGGGGCCATCCCAGGCGGACAGCAGCACATACCCAGGACAGCACTGAGGGCAGAGTCTGTTCACTGCCAGAATTGCTGTAGTAAAGGGCATCGCCTCTGTAGGGGACGGCAGGATGGCAGGCTGGGATGGCCAGCAGGGTCCAGTTCAGGGAGGGTAGGCTGAGGAATTTGAGCTTTACATTGAGAGCCAAGGGGACCACTGGAGGTGGTAAGGCAGGGGTGAGGAGGTGGCACAACAGAATTATCCTTTAGGATGATTGCCCTGGCTTCAATCTAGGGAAGAATTAGGAGATGAGGTGGGGTAGGGAAGGGCAGTGGGGAGACAGTTGCAGCCATCCAGGCGAGAAGGATCAGGGCCTGAACCAAGGCAATGACATCAGGAATGGAGTGGGTGGGGAGCTGAGGACAGATGGCTGAGCTCTGGAAAGCACCACTATTTATGGGGTGAAGGTCGAATGACCAACTGCAATGGGGGTTGGGGGAAGAAGATGGAACATCTGTTAAGAAGGAGGGAATTCCAAACGGTATGAAGGTCATAGCGGGAGGTGTGACGTGCACTGTATTTGTCAATCAGGTCATCATTGGTGACATCAGAAATAGCCCAGTTTCAATGGACTGTGAGGAAAGGGAGCTCTGGGGGCTAGGGTGCTTGGGACGGGGGCTGAGCTGTGTTGGGAGGAAGGGCAAAGTGTGGCAAGTGGAAGGCAACGTGGGATTTCAGGTTGTTCTAAAGGAGAGAAGATGCAGCTTCCTGGCTCCCTCCTTGCTTCTTCCACCTGAAAAATTAGTCAGTGACTCTCATTATATGACTAAGATTTTCCAGCAATGTCAGTTCAGGTCACTCAATTTCCTCCTTTCATTCCATGTTAATAGGGACATGTTTTTGAACCTGGCCTCACTATTATTCTTTCTTTATGTGTCTAGTTACTTTATTTACCACATAAGGAGATGAAGAGACAAATATTGTTAGGCAAAGAGATAAATTTAAAGGATCGTCATAGCTATTTTTGCCAAAGAAGTCTACAAAATGTTTAAATCAGAAATGGCCAGTTTTCATGTCAATTGGTATTTCTAAATCCCAGGTTTTCCCCCTGTGACATATTATAATTGAGAGATGCCCAAACAGATGTTTTCTGTTAGCTGGACTCGGTTCCAAAGGTTTCTTCATAGGCTGCTCTGAAATAATCCCCAAGGAGCTCCAGGGGCCAATAATCTCCATTTTTGCTATTGCATATGAAAATATTTTAGTCTGCTTGTGTGAGATACATTTTGTTTCTGAATAGTATTATTATTAAAAATGGGTCCTAATCACCTTTTCCGTGCATATTTTACAAATTAATTCGTTTGCCTTATTTTACTTCTTGTGGCTAGAAAATTCTACTCATTTCTTTTGTAGCTGCGAAATCATTGATTCATTTTCAGTGGTCTTTGAGACTCGCTCTCCCAAATCACACCCTGTTGGCCCGTGGAGTCCCTGAGGAGAGATACTCAGATTGTCCAAGTGTGTTCAGGCGCACCTATTCACACAACGAGCCTAATGTTTTCTTGTTGGAGTGATGTTCCAAAAGTGAAATATTTAGAGTGGAAATGGTGGAAACATTGTTTCCACAATGGGACCTGGAAATATCATTGTATAGACTCTATCAATATTGTTCTAAATCTTAAATTGTTATGTCTCAAAAGTCATTCTGAAGTCAGGGCTTACTGTGAATAATGGCTTGGAAAATAAAAATAATGTCTCTCCTGGGATCAGAAGCACTGACCCGAATAACAGGACGGGAGGGACTGACTGAGAGGGACAGAGAAGCTTTCCCAGAGTGTACAGTTCCAGGGGTCTGGAGCCTGGGAGTCTAGAATGGACTGCCAGTGACCTTCATGTGACCGTGAGGGTCTTTTTGCTTCCGAGGATCCTTGGGTCGCTCAGTAGGGATGTGAGTGAGGAGACGCTGCTGGGGCCTCCAGGCCCGATGTCGGTGGTTCTCACCAGAATGCCTCGGCTGCATGACATAGAGCTCTCTTATAAAGTTGGAGTTTCCTGTTCCAAAACGTTCAGATTTCTTGCACTTTCTCCTTGTGGGTGGAGGTGAGGGCAGGTTTCTGGCCTGGTAGACAGAAGCTGACATCACCACACACCCCAGGCCTGAGTCTGCGAAGGAGAGGCCAAGAGTGTGGCCTTCAAGGGCACCTCATGGCATGGGTGGAGCAGGATGCTGGAATCCAGGCTGTACCCCTTGTCCTTTCCTTTATTCATTCACTCCACAAAGAATTACTGAGCACTTCCTAGGTGGCAGTTGCTGTACTAGGCACTAGGTCAACCCTGGTCGGCAAAACAGACACAATGTCTGGTCACTTGAAGCTTCCATTCTACTGAGAGAGACAGAGCCTGGATACCTAGGCAAACACAGACCAATGTCATGGAGCGTTGCCATAAATTCCATGAAAAAGAGGCACGAAACACCACAGACGAGAAAAGGAAGGGATCAGGGGTCATCCCTGCTGGCGATGGCAGGGGTGAAAGCTCAAGGGTCAGGCGGTGCCTCTCTAAGGCTGTGGCATTAGCCAGAATGACAGAGAAGGGAAGGGGTGGGTCCCAGCAGGGGACAGAATGTGTGAGGCCCGACTGGAGAAATGCCTTGATGGGGTGGAGGAACCCAAGGAAGTTAAGGAGGCTCCAGTGGCAGGTGATGGGGGGAGACTGGGGTGGGATGAGGTTGGGAGTGGGCTTGGGGGCCGGGACATATAGCCATGTGCAGGCCCTGGGAACAAGCTCTTCTTTTATGCCAAGGACAGGGAAACCACAGGATGGTTTTAGCAGGAGAATAACATAATCCTGCTTACAGTTTTCTTTTTGTTGAATCCAGGTCTCACTCTGTTTCCCAGGCTGGAGTGCAGTGGCATGATGCCAGCTCATGGCAGCCTCTAACTCTTGGCCTCAATTGATCCTCCCTTCTTAGCCTCCCAAACTGCTGGGATTGCAGGCATGAGCCACTGTGCCTGGCCTCTACTTGAATTTTCAAAAGACAATTCTGGCTGCTTTATGGAGAATGGCCTGGGACTGGTGAGGAACCAATTGGATGTTGAGAACAGAAAGAAGCAGACACGGTGCCCTCCCATGTGCTCACCATGTTCCCAGGCTGCCCACCTGTCAGTCATTCTGGAAAAGGACCTCAGCAAGTTACTTTTCCAAGGAGTGTTTTTCTTTTCTTCAGTAGTGGGTGAAGGAGCAAACTCAACGAGTAGTTGTAAATTGACACATTCTCATTCCTCTAACAATTCAAATTACATTTGAGGCAGGGACTCTGCCTGTGAGTGAGGTGGGTCCTGGATGCAGCAGGGGTCATAGGCGTAGGACAGGTCCCCGGGCAGACATGACATGGGCTGGGTCCTCAGGGGCAGTGTGGGCATGTACCCTGGCATGAAAACAAGCCCCCATCCCAGAGGCTGGAATCTGTGGGGTTCTCACACTGGCCCCTGGTCCAACATTGCCAATGGCAAGATACAGAACTCTGTGGGGTTGCATTTCTCCCGGGGTAGGGGGACCCATGTGTGTCTCCAAACAGCCATGTGCCAGCTAGTCTGACAGTCAACTTAGACTGCTTGTTTATGAAAAAACAGGAGAACCATTTGATGAAAACCCAATTTTCCTTTAAAAAAAGAAGAAAATGAGAAAGCTGGTCCAAAATCATTGACATCAGGAGGAAAGACTGATTTTCCAAGGATGCAACTGGGGTGAGGCTCTTTCTGAAGTTGGAAATGAATCAGATGTTAGTGGCCTAATGGGACACAAAACACCTCAGTATTCCATGGCACCATTCAAAAAGCATGATAACATTGATTTTCTCATTTTAGTTAGCAACATAGCACCAAGCTTAAAATATAATGCCATTTGCAAGGTAAAGATCTGTGGGGTCAGCAAAGGGAAACCTCTCCTCTCAGTTTCGTGTTCCACAGCTGAAGCAGGCTATTGAAACATTGACCATCTACAGGAGAGGACCTAAAAATAATAAAAAGATAGCTTAGAGGAAATCTTGTGATGTTTCTTTGCACCTGTGGGAAACTCCTCACTTTCCCACAAATGAGGAGATGCAATTTAGAAGGAGACAGGAACAAGAGGAAGCTCTTCTATACTCCTAAGCCACACAGATGTCTGGAAGAACTTTCTAACCTGAAGGCTTCCGAGGCATTGGGATACTTCCCAACAGTGCTGACTTTATTTGTCAAGGGTTGTAGTTCACCTTTGGAGAGCCCATTTCTTCACCAGCTGCCACTTCCTCCCTTTCTGACCTCCGCTCCCTCTGAGCACCAACCTCCTTTATGCAGCCCCTCCTCCTGGCAGGTACATGGCCACCACCCCAGCCCCTGATCCTGGCTGGAATGTCTTGGGTGGTGGGCCCTTTTCCTCCTATCACAACAAAAGCTCACCAGTTCCACGTCCCTTCCCCACACTTGTCTCTCTGTGGGAGGTGCCACTGTTAATCAGACCTGCTAAGCCAGGCAACCACGCAAAGGTGTTGACAGACATCTTGCTGAGGTCAGTGAAGAACAAAGCTCTACTTGTTTTTAAAAGCTGTCTTTATTTTAAAATTTGTCCTTAAGAAGCAACCAGACGGGATTCATTCTTCTTAAAGTGGACTTTTGTTCTTGAGCAGGCATGCCAAACAGTCTCCGAGGATACACAGAAACAAATGGGCGTGCAAAGCTTTGGCTGTTGGACAAACCTGTTGCTCCACTTGGGGTGAGTCCATGTGTCTGAGCAGCAGGAGATGGGGTCAGTCTTTCCCAAGGACAGAGTCAAAACCTAGGAGATGAAGCCTCTTCATTTGTCTCTGTCCCAGATTCAGGGTCTCCTGGTTCCTGTTAGTGTCCTGTGAAAGGTTTATACACTTCTAAGCCAAAATCAAAGTACAGGAAGAAGCGTGTTTAAGCAGGAGATATTTGCACATTCTCTCCTCTCCCCATTGACCTAAATCATATTCTTTCTCTGAGGCCCAGTTAAAGCTGCATCTCCTTCATGAAGCTTCCATGAACCCTGTCTGCCTTCTTTCCTGGGTTCTTCAAGCCTTGCTCTTCACTCAATAACTGTTTTCCATTGCCAGCTGTTTAAGATTTTTCTGGGTCAAAGTGCGAGATTGTTCTGGCTCAACTTGGTCAAACTGGGGAGCTGCACCATTCCTTGAATCCCCTTCCCCAGGTTAGACTTGGCTAACAGAGATCTATGTGAAATTTGGAAGGCAGGGCTAAAGTGGTGACCATTACTCTCAGAAATCCATTGTGACCATGTCTGGTGAGAGATGCAGAGCTGCCCGGGCCTCCCAGGTATGCTAGCTTTCATTCCCTTCTTCCAAACTGCTGGCCCGCTGACCAATAGCAGTTCAAAGCCCAGCACCAGAGTGGGGACCCACAGAGGTGGATGTGACTGAGGCACAGCTTCTCTGACCCCTCTCCACAAGCCCCCATTTGTGGTCTCAAGGGGAGGCTGCCCGCCCTTGGTTTCTTAGATTTCCCTGCAAGCTCAGATTTTCTACCGTGCCAGTGAATGAGGAGGTCTAGTTGGTGACTCTTCTTAGATCCTCCAACTTTGCCTTCCAAGTCTTCACTTCTTTAGCTTCTTCCACATTTATGTGAGGTTTAATTCTAGTGAAATCTCTTATCCCTAAAACATGGTGTTTTCCTGATTGAACCTTGATTGATACACCAGCCAACCCTCCCAGATAGTCCTTGAGCCTGCTAAGGGAAGGGCCATGCCCTTCTTTGAACTTTTTCATGATGTCCAGGACAATGCCAGTTACAAGTAGGTTGTCAATGATTTTCGTTGATGGCTAGATGGAAAAAAAAAAGTCCCCTACAAATTATTTTGGATAAATGACATCTTCTCATTGCTTTCCCTCTCCCAGAATTGGAACATGGAGACCCCAAGACAATGTAGGAAGCTGGCTGCTGGATTTGTGGGCAAGAGGCCATTAAGGCTACAGGTGAACACTTTCCCTGAAGGTGTCAGCTTTTCTTTGTGAAGATCCACCATCATTTCTCAGGGCTCTGGTGCAGGAAAATGGAATGCAAACTGATGATTGAACCTACTCCCTTTTTCCCCATCCATCTAGCTGACCAATTTTCAGAGGTAAACTTTCTAGGAGGAAACCAACCTCTGGTTGTGTCCAGGCCCTTGTTTCACAGGTGGGAAAGCACTGTGGGAACAGAAGAGAGATATGGGAAGGAAAACCCTCCCCACTATGAGACATGTTCGAGTTGCCTATGTCATAAATCCCCTCTGGGGAGATCTGTTTGTGTCTGCATCTCAATGCATCAAAGCTTCTCTTTCTTACAGGCTTCAACATGTGTGTCATGATAAGCTTCAGGAAAAGGGGAGATGAAGGGAAACTTTTAATGCCAACATTTGGTGCAATCTTGTCCCCTAACCAGAGCCCTGTGGCTGGTGAAGCAATCTAGGGGAGGAACACCTGCTCAGCTCTCAGCAGGGACCACACTGATTCAAATCTTGGGACTTGCACCCCATGTCACATTGCCTGGGCACTTCCATGTGTCCTCTGCCCCAGATGTCCAGCTGACACTGGGTTGAAGGGCATATTACATATTAGGATGCTGCATAGCTCATTTTTGTAGCAGAGACTTAAAGTTTCAGAGATGAGCAAATTTTGGCCAGAACAATTAGTGAAGGTGGAAGTGGTGATGGTGACAATGAGATGAACCCCAAGCCCACCAATCTATTCGGGAGAATCCCAAGCCTCTCCTACGCCATCATCTTTGTGAAGATTTTTAACAAGGGATTGGTTTATTCTGCCTTGATGGAGTAGGATTCACAGAGGAGCTGACATTTAGGCTACATCTTGAAGGAACAGAAGAAAGGCATCCCAGCGAGGGGAAGCAGAATAAATGAAAGTGTGGAGCTATGATAATATGTGGTATATTTGAAGACTGGGCAAGAGTCTAATGTATGAATGACTAGACTCATGACTATGACTAGGCAAGAGTCTACAGTATATGGTGTGCAGTGGAAGTAAATAACTCCCAATGCTTACACACCTGGCATCACTTTTCCTTCTCTTACTGGCTAGGATCTCCAGTATTTATTCATTAAAGTGATGATAGTGGCCCCTTTGTCTTGTATCTGAGTGTAAAGGGAATGCTTCGAATGTTTCATTGTTCAGAATTATGTTTCCTATAATAGGTTTGGAGTGGACATCCAGGAAAGAAGTTCCATTCTATTTCTTGTTTTCTTGAATGTTTATTTTAAATCAGTGTTACATTGTTATCAACAATGTTTCTGCATTTATTTAGATGATCTCTCTCCCCCTCGTCTCCTTTCTCTTACCATTGATATTTTAATGTGGTCAATTACAGAGTTTTTAGTGTTGAGTCACATCTTCATTTCCTGAGAAAAACCCATGATGTCTTAATCTTACTTATATATGGTTGGATTTCATTTGCTTAATTTTTGTTCAGGATTTTTATGTCTACACAATGAGCAAGACTGGCCTTTCTCTTTCTTGCCCTGTCCTAATTTGCTTTTGGTATCAAGACGTCTTGTGTTCATAGAATGCATTAGGAAATATTACTACTGTTTCCTTTCTCTGAAATAGCAAAAACAGGAATGATTTATTCCTTGACTTGGCAGAATATGGATATACGTTCTCTGGATCTGTTATCTTGTTGGGAGTTAGATTTTTTTTTAACTGAAGATTCCATTTTTGTAATGGGTATAGGACTATGGATCTTCCACTTACTCTCAAGTCAGCTTTGAAAAGTTTTGTTTCTCTAGGAATTTGTCAATTTTGTCTAAGTTTTCAAATGTATTGGCATGGAGTAGTTTTTAAAAGTGTCTTATTATCTTTTAACTCTGTCTTGAATCTAAAGCTCTATTTCCATTTTTATTCCTAAATTGCTTATTTGTGCATTCTTTCCTTTTCAGAAATTTATTGAAAAAGTACAATTGTATATATTTATGGGGTACAATGTAATGTTATAATAGCCGAGTACAATCTGAAATGATTACATCAAGCTAATTGACATTCATCACCTATGAAGTTTGTGTATTTTATTATTCTTTTAAAAAAATTAGTCTCTGGTTTTGTTGATTTTCTCTATTGTGTCTTTTTTTTCTATTGGCTTCCTTATTTTGTCATTTTTTTTTGGTGTATCCTTCCTTTTACTTTCTTTGGGTTTATTCTATTATTCTTTATTAACTCCTTTAGTTGGATGCTTAGTTTATTAATTTTTGATTTTCCTTATTTTCAAATATATACATTACAGCTATACTTTTTCTTGAGAACACTAATTTTGCTATATCTCTCAAGTTTCAATATATAGTGTTTTTATTATTATTTAGTTACAAATATGAAAAATTTTTATTATAACTTTTTTGAACTATGATTTATTTAGAAGATACTTCAAAATTTCCAAATGTTTGGAGATTTAAAATATTTATTTTAAATTATTGACTTCTAACTTAATTCCAACATGGTAAGAAAATATGGTCTGTATTTTTACCAATTCTTTGAATTTTCCTGATGATTGCATTATAGATTAATATGTGGAATTTAAAAAATATTCTGTGTGTGCTTAAGAAGGATGCATATTCATTCTTTAATTGTTACAAAAAATCTTTTTTAAAGGACTGATATATTATAGTTGTATATATTTTTGTGTTACATATGACATTTTGACATGATACATGTATAATTATCAAATCAGGGGAAGTGAGATATCCATCACTTCAATCACTTCTTTTCTTATTCTTTAATTTTTGATAATAGGGTTCTACCTATGCCTTTTAAATAAAGCTTTTAATAGTGTTGTTTAAAATTGTCTGTATCTTATTTTCTTCTCTTATTTTTTTCTCTTTTCTTGCCTTTGTTTGAATATATTGAGTTTGTTGTTTCCTCATTCTGTCTTTTCTCTCTTATTTGGAAGTTATAAACTATTTTATTTTTCTGTTAGTGGTTAACCTTGAACTTTTGCCATGCACACTTAACAAATTTTAAAGTTTATTAATATCTTAAACTTTTGCAACCACCATGCTGAACAATACAAAGACTTTAAAACCAATTTCCCTTCCTAATTTGCATGCTGCTATTGCCCGTTATTTGAGTTCTATTTTTTTTGCATAATTTAAGCATTACCATTATTTATTCAGACCATTATTTATTTATTCAAAATATCAATGGTGAGAGAAAGGAGAGGAAGGAGAGAGATCATTTAAATAAATGAAGAAACATTGTTAATAACAATGTAATACTGATTTAAAATAAACATTCAAGGCCAAGGTGGGCAGATCACGAGGTCAGGAGATCGAGATCATCCTGGCTAACACGGTGAAACTCCACCTCTATTAAAAATACAAAAAAAAAAAAAGTTAGCCAGACGTGGTGGTGGCCGCCTGTAGTCCCAGCTACTCGGGAGGCTGAGGCAGGAGAATGGCACGAACCTGGGAGGCGGAGCTTGCGGTGAACCGAGATCGCGCCACTGCACTCCAGCCTGGGCGACAGAGCAAGAGTCCATCTCAAAAAAAATAAAATTAAAAAAATAAATAAATAAACATTCAAGAAATAAGAAACAGAATGAAACATCTTTCCTGGATGTTCTTTTATCTCATGTTTTATAATTGTTTTGCTCAATGGCTTTTTTGCTCTGACCTTTCTTCTGGTGTTACCTTCCTTTGTCCTGATCTATGTACTTTTGAAGCTACTTTGGTGAAGTTTTGCTGGCAGTAAATTCTCTCACTCCTTAATTATTTGAATACATTTTTATTTTTTCTTTTTCCCTAAAAGGTAATTTTGTTGAATATTTAATTCAAGATTGAGAGTGAATTTATTTTTTCATTACTCTGAAGCTATCTTTGACTATCCTTAGGCTCCCATTGCTCCTGCTAAAGGGTCGTCTGTCAGCCCAGTTGCTTTTCTTTGTTGTCGATCTCTGTTCACTGTTGCTTTGGTTCATTCCTTGCATAGTGTTTATGTGTGAAATTTTTATTATATATCTTGCTATGTTAATTGTGCCTCCTACATCTTAGGGTTTGTGTCCTTTATCAGTTCTGGAAAACTCAGCCATATCTTCAGATTTTGCCTCATCTGTATTCTCTGTCTTTTTTCTTTTCTTTTCTTTTCTTTTCTTTTTTTTTTTTTTTTTTTTTTTTTTGTGAGACAGGGTCTCACTCTGTTGTCAAGGCTGGAGTGCAGTAGTGTGTTCTCGGCTCACTGCAGCCTCTGCCTCCTGGGCTCAAATGATCCTCCCACCTCAGTCTCCTGAGTAGCTGGGACTACGGGCATGCACCACCACACCTGGCTAATTTTTAAATTTTTTGTAGAGATGGCGTCTCGCCAGGTTGCCCAAGCTGGTCTTGAACTCCTGGGCTCAAGGAATCCTCCTGTCTCAGCCTCCCAAAATGCTGGGATTACAGGAGTGAGCCACCATGCCTGGCCATGGATTCCCTGTCTTCTCACCTGGGACTTTGGTTAGGTGTCTGGCAAGTCTCCTAACATCGCTTCCATCCTTTCATATTTTCTATCCTTGACTCTCTTTATTGCATTCTGACTAGGTTTTTTTTTTAATTTATCTTTAAATTAATTAATTCTGATTTTAGCTTTGTCCAGTCTTCTGAAGAATCCATGAGGAGTTTGAGAAAAAAGAATTGAATTAACCAACAAGTGGAAATTTACAAAGCAGCTCCACTGCCCAGCCTGCTCTGGAGTGATAAGACAATAGGATGCTCCACTAAACAACTTGCTGGGAAGACCCTTCTCTGTGCTCCTGAACACCTAAAAGTCACTGGCTCTTGACTGTTGCACCCAATATTTATTTATCTCCTTTTGAAAACCCACCCACAAATCACCTGAGTTCTAACCTTAAACACAGGCCCAGTGCTGTAAGAATTCCCCTTTGACTTTGTTTCTCAAGCTGTTTTTGAGACCTTATCCTTCCTTACTGGAAAGAATGTGAGTAAACTCAGTTTGCTTTGTCGACACCAGGTTTCCTGGTTATTTTTGTGAGGACTCTAACAATTTCTTATTTACAACAAATATATTTTTCATTTCTAAAATATCTGTCATCATTTTAAACAGTCTTTTGATGAATTTTTAAATGTTTATGATTCTATATTTCATGCCTTCAAATAGTTTTCTACAGAGTTTATCTGTCTAATGATTTTAATATCTGAAGACCTTGTATGGGGGAGTTCTCATGTTGTTTTTCTTTCTTTAAACACATAATCATGGTAATTTTTTCTTTGTGAATTTAATCTTTGATTGTGAGCTCACGTTTTTTTGCACTTCATATGTGGGAATCCTGAGAGCCTCAACTGGGGATGTTACTCCAGAGATTAGTATGGCTGATGCCTTTGTTGAAAGCTCATGGTTTCCTGTTCGGATTTCAGCTCAAAGACTTTTTGAAAACAACATTTTGTTTTTAGAGGCTTCCCTTCAGCCATATTTTAAAAATAGCGCAAAGGCAATTTTAGCAGGATCTAGCTGTGTAGAGGGACAGGTCTTCTTAGTCATGTTGATGCAGCCCTCCCTGCGTCTTACTCTCTTCAATACTGTTTCCCTGGGTAGCCCAGCCTGATTGAGCCCATAGAGTAAGTTCACCCCCCAGTGTCATGTTTTTTGGGTCAGTAGTGAACTATAATTCTACCCTGGTTATACATAAATGTAGATGAAAAAAGAAAGACACTTTGAAAGCCTGTTCTGTCAAGCATTCTTGAAACTTCTCTGTAAATGTCACAGAGTAAGACTTGAAAAGCTTTCAGTGAGCCCAGCCCAGCCCAGAAATAGTATGGCACTGTGTGTGCTTCCTCTTGTGCCTACTTCCTTCTAGAGCAGATTTTCGACTGCCCTGGGGTCAAACTGTTTTAACTCAAAAATATTCCATTTTGGAACTAACTATAGAATGTTAACACTGAGAATTAGATTTCTAATCCACCAATCTAGGATAAGACGTCTTATTTATTTTAAGCACGAAAGCAGTGAGTGAGATGTGGCCAGCTGCACTCACCATGCTGGTCCTGCTCACCACCCTGGTCTCCTGTAAATGCCAATGCTGGCCTGGGCCAGGCCTGTAGCCATTTCTGTGTCTATTTTTCTTCTTTCTCCTCTCCTCCCTTTCCCCCCTATTTTCTCTCTTCTTTGTCCCTTATCACCTGTTCTCTCTCCCTCTCTTTTCACTTTGTTCCAGATATAGTTAAGTTACCTAATATAATGCATATTAAAAATAAGTGAGAACAGACTTCCAGTTAACCAGGTTTGAACACACTATTTATTTTATCTCCCCTCTGAAGTCCCATTAAAATGATAGTGAAGGAATAACACATCATAAACCCACAATAATTAAAAGAAAAAGAGGAAAATTTCTGCAGCTAGAAGTCGGTACTTTGAAAATTGGAAAGAAAAATGAAGAAAAATAAATGGCTTAAATCCCAGAAATGACTACTACCTAAGCTCTAGATGGAAGTTTGAGAGGGGTGGGAGACGGGGTAGAAAACACAATTTTCTTGTCATAGAATTCTGGAAAAACTCAGGAATCAGAGCATTGTGTCAGGACGCAGGTGGGCTGAAAACAGAACTACTGAGGTCAAGTTGTTACGGAGAATTCGGGCTTCAGATTCCTTCTTTCACCTCATATAAGGAGACAATCACATACTTCTCATTCTGAGACAAGGTGAGAGGTTTACTTTTTGGGCACTTTGAACTGAATAAGCTCTGGATTTGGAGACATCAAGTGTAGTTGAGGGGTGTGGATATGGAATTGATACTGAAAAATAGGGATAAAGTGAAAATAAACATCCCAAATTATAGAATCTCCAGTTCACTTCAACCCCCAAGACTGATAGTTGGGCTTACAACCCGAAATATGAGATCAAAAGACTCCTCTTTCAGAACACTGGCCCAAGATGAAATAATTTCAATATTGGCATTTAGTGCTTCAGTGAAAATCATTCTACAGTAAAGCCATGTCTGTAAGCCAGGCTTTTCTTTTGTTTTTTATTTTATTTTTAAATTTTTATTTATTTATTTTATTTTGAGCTGGATTCTCTCTATGTTGTCCAGGCTGGAGTGTAGTGCCATCATAGTGCACCACAGCCTCAAATTCCTGGGCTCAAGCAATTTTCCTGCCTCAGCTTCCTGAGCTGGAACCACAGGCATGTACCACTGTGTCTGGCTCTAAGCCCTGCTCTTATAATGGATCCAATATTCTTCTTAGGGTCTCATTCGTAAATATGAAGAGACAGCCAAGACTAACCATGCATCTATATAAAGCCTTTAACTGAGTAACAGAGATTCAAACAGAAAGAAAAAACACCACAGGAAACAGACAACATAGGTACAAAATAAAATTAAGAAAATAAATGTAACGAATGACTTCAGAGAGATGAGAGAAGAAACTACTTACGGGGAACAAATATAGGATGCTATAGAAAAGAATCAAACATAACAAGAAAAGGGATTTAGACATCCCAATATATGATAGCCAAAAATAAAAAAATTAGCTGGTGAAGTTGACACATATCCAGAAAGAAAAATGGAAGGACAAGGAGAGGAAAAGTGAGTGGGGGAAGAAGAGAGATAAATAGAGGATCACATCAGAACATCCAAATTGTAGACATTTCAGAAAGAGGAAAGATGGAAGGGAGAAACAAATCAAATTTTTAAAAATTTAAAAAATTAAGAACACATTTCCAGAACTGAATGTGACCAGCCAGAAAAAGAAGTGTATTCTGGTCATCCAGCATGATGACAAAAAAAAAAAAAAAGCCCACACCTACGCATCCTTTTTGCAAAGTTTCAGAACTACCTGAAAAAAGAGTCTTTGACAGAGAGAGGGAGAAACAAAAACACCTGAGTAGAAGATTGCCTGTGAAAGTTAGGGAGGAACAATAAATCCTGCCACTCTTTACCAAGATGAGAAAGAACCAAGGAGGCAAAACAGGAGACAGTAGGCCTGTGCTCCCCATGCCCTGGGCACCCATGGTGCGGGCTGCCCCCTACTCTGTTCCACTATTCCCCATCTCTCCTGTAGCCTCAGAACTGACCCCTCTGGGCTTCCTCCCCTCCCAGCAAGCCCACCCCACATGGGCAAGTGTCAGTGTATCGTGGTAACCATTGAGGCCATCATCGTGGCCACGACCATGGCTAGACTCTTTTGGGGACGCCAGTCTTGCTGTCCTAAGTACACAGCTTCATGAAGCATCCCAACTGGATGACTTTGATGCATTTGGACATACAAGCACTGTCCCTTTTTTGTTTTATTACCTTATAGTCAATTACATAGCAAGTCAGAGGCAGAGCTGGCCTCAGGAAGATGGACCTGCAATAGGAGGCTGACACACATAGAGACCTGTGTCTGCCCACGGTGCAGAGTGGATGGAGTGGAAATATGTCTGTGTCTCACGTTTAATATTCTGTGGCTTTTCTCTCTTCTGGTCTATAGAATCCTTGAGTGCAGGGACTCCGTGCTGTGTGAGATGCAAACCCAGGTACTTAGTTGGAGGCCTAGCCACCTGAGGGAGCTCACGAAATGCGCCCGCATGGCTTGGGATCATGATTAGGGATGAATATTTTCTCAGCATTACAGTCAAAAGGGTGGCGGGCCCTCTGCTGTCCCCATGCCCTAAAGCCCCATTCCATTCTGTGTCACTCTATTTTGGCTCTCACATTCCATAAATGTAACTGTTGTGCTCAAGAAGGTATTCAGAGTATTAGTCATAATTTCTTTTCATAGGGGATAGGTGAAGTAATTCGTTTTCTGGAAAAAAGACGTGCGTTATGAACTGTGATAAATTATATCAAAAACATGAAATACTCAGCATTGGTACTTTCTGAATGTTCTCTTTTGGGATGAAAGAGGAAAGGGTTAAGTTATAGCATTCTATTTTTCTCTAAAATTGAAAGAGTCTTAAGATTTAATTGGCAACCACGTGTACAAACTGGCCCATTCTTTGGAGCAGATGAGAACATAGATTTCTATTCATCTTCTCAAGAAAAACACATTTTGTGACAAAGCTGTCACATTACTTAAAATTGTGTATGTGCACACACCTTCATAGCAGTCTTCTCTGTAGTCATGGTGCTCTTCGAAATTACTGATCTGACATGATGAGGTGATTAGCCTAGCTGTTTTGAAAACCTGTAATACCGTGTCAGCTCTCAGGTTTGTTTATGTTTATCATTTTTGATTGAAAGGAATAAAAGTGAAGAGCTATAATGAAATCGTAGAGGAACAGGATCAATGCTCTTTTAACAAAATCTAAAATATAGATGCCTTAGAGAAGCAAAAATTCAGTTCTTATGATTAATTGCTTTATAAGAGCTAATGATGGGGTAACAATTCATTAGATTAGTTTAGAATGGAAATAATTTTTTGCATTTCCTTTAAAGCTATGTGACTTCACATGATTTATATAAAATTATTTTAAAATCTTCATTTTTCCTAAATTCTAGAGCTGATGCTCCTGAAACTAAACTATTGTTATTATTATTCTTAAAATTATGACTGTAAGCTGGGCAGGGGCATGAGGCTGTAGTCCCAGCTACAGACGAGGCTGAGGCAGGAGGATTGCTTGAGCCCAGGAGTTAAGAGTCCAGCCTGGGCAATATAACAAGACCTTGTCTCAAAAAAATTATTATTGTATGTATCTAATACATACAATTTTATTGTATGTATCTGTTTCATTGTATGTGTAACATACACATATTCCAAGACCAACTTTTAACTCTCTTTTAGCCATTTCATCTTCTCTTGCAGGTATATGTATCTCACCTTGTTGCATCAATCTTGGGAAATGTTCAGAGCCTACCTCTTTGTTCTCTTGTTTAAATTATGTTCACTTAGCAACTGTGTGCTCTGCTGAATATTTTATAGACCTTCTGTTGCTGCAGAGGTATGAATGGAAAAGATTGAGTATGAATAATGAGTGAAGCTGGATGTGATCCATGTGTTTAAAACATATGCTCTGATGTAACAAGAAATTTTGAGATTTTTTTTTAGGAGTAAATTTGAAAAATTTTTAGTCAGTCATATTTTGGTAGGGTAAAATTAAGAAGGTTCATTTTTAGAAGATTGCTTTACTTCACTTAGTAGAAGCCTACTGTAAGAATGAAATTTGTCAACTTGGCAACCAATTAATTTGGTTTTCAAGAGTTTTGCATGGTGTGACATTTGAGATTTATCCTGCTTGGTAATTGTTCGGTTTCTGAATATGAGATTGAAGTTTTTCTCATCAATTTTGGAAAATTCTTTGCCGCTAAATCTTCAGATATTGCTGTGGCCTCATTTTTTTCTCTCCCTTTTAGGACTCCAATCTCATGTATGTTAGCTCTTTTCATCATGTCCCAATTAACTTGTGGCCTTTTCTGTATTTTTTCCATTCTTTTTTCTCTGGATATTTTCTGCTGAACTATCGTCCAGTCCACAAATCCTCTCTTCTCCTGGATCTAATTTGCCATTAAAGTCATAAGTATTTAATTTCCGTTACTATATTTCAGTTGTAGAATTTCTATTTTTTAGAAAAAGATTTAACTTCTCTAGTTAAATTTTCCGTCTTGTCACCTATTTTCTTAACATACCAATCAGAGTTATCCTGAATTACATATCTGATAATTTCAATATTTGGGTTGCCTATGGGTGTCATTCTGTAATCTATTTTTTCTCTTAATTTGTAGTCACTTGATCTTCCTTTCTAGCATCATAATTTTTGATCAGATGCCATGATTATTTATGAAAAATTACAGAGGTTCTGGGTAATGTTATCTGCCTTCAGAGAGAAGTAATTTTTGTATTTGGCAACCAGTTAGAGTAGGGGCGGGTCACCTAAAGCCATGTGACTTCACGTGATTTATATAAAATTATTTAAAAATAGTTCTAGTCTGGGATTGAACTGATTAGAAACTGGCTTCAGTCTTCATGAGGCTTAGTGTATTTGCAGTTCACCCATATCCCAGAGTTTAGCAGTTTAGGTGTCCCAATGGAAAACCTGGGTGGGCCTTGACTTTTATCTCCATAACACCATAAGGCCACTGAAAGATGCACATAACTTTTCAGTCTCTTGGGAACTGATTACAAATCTGTAAAAGATTTAGGAAAACACTTGGCAAGTATCAGGCTTACTTCTCTGTACATCCCTTCTCTCTGGGACCCTGGCCCCTCAAGTGCTAGGTGCCTTGGCAACCCTGGATTCTAATTTTTAGCTTTACAGTTTTGTGAGACAGCCATAAGATCTGCTCACCTTCTCATTCCCTCTCTCCTTGTTTTTTCAGACATTTTGCCAACATTGTTTATAAATTAGCAAATTCTTTAAAGGAAAAGTGGTGCAGACTGTCAGCCTCATCAGTGTGGGTTTTTTTTTTTTCTCTCCAGCATCTTAGTTCCCTAAGTCCTGGCTGCCTTGGTAGCTTCCCCAATGCCTTTAACTAGATGCTTTTTCTTGTAGTTTTCATTGTATCATATCTTATTCAGCTTTCTAGCCATAATTGGTGGGATTGGTCTGTTACAAGTTAGTTCATCATAATCAGAGTCAGGAATCTTGTTAACTGAGCCTTTCTTCATTCATTCATTCAATCATTCATTCATATTATATGTTTACTATGTGTGTTTACTCCCATTATAGATATAAAGATGATAAAACAAAGTCTTTGGTTACTAAGAGCTACCATCTACTTCAGACCCATAAACAAATACCAACAGTACAATGGGAAAACCGTAAGAGAATTAAGTACGTAGTGTGCAGTGGAAGCACAGAGGAAAAAGTGCTTAGTTAAGACTTGGGTCAGAGAACATTTCATGGAAGATCTAATGCTAGAATTGAGTCTTGAATAGTTATTAAGATATCACTAGTTGAAGGGAGCACCTCTGAGTTTCTGCTACACATGATGACTGTGTTGAATTTGACAACTGCCTGAGTTCTCTGCTTACTTGGTCTGTCTCTCTTCTTGATTGAAATGCTCACTGTCTGCTCTTATGTTAATATCTCAGTACTAGAGAATTAAAGAAATATGCTTTTGGTCAATGATGGGTTAATCCCGTTATTCAATGTCATATGCTGTCCTGGATTAGGAACATACACACTCCCATAGATCTCAGGGCAACTGAAGATGTAACTCTGGGACTTGACCTTAGACATTCTCCTACCTGGATTACTCCCTTTACTAAGTACCTGTCTTAGCTCAGGTAGCTGTAACGAAGCACCATAAACTGGGTGGTTTAAAAAACAAACATTTGTTTCTCACAGTTATGGAGGCTGGAACTCCCAGATTAGAGGACAGTATGGCTGGGTCCTGGTGACAGGGCTCTTCCAGGTTGCAGGCTGCTGACGTCTCCTTTTGTCTTCACATGGCAGAAAGAAGGCAAGGGAGCTCTCTGGAGTGTCTTTGGTAAGGACACTAATCCTGTTCCTGAGGGCTCCACTCTCACAACCTAATTACCCCCCAAAGGCCCCACCTCCTTACCATCACATTGGGAGTTAGGATTTGAACATATACATTTTGGGTAGACACAAACATTCAGTCCATAATAGTCATAATTTCTGTTGATGGTTTTTTCTTTCCAATTTCTCGGGTTGGAAAGCCTTGAGTAATCTTTCACTTGCTTTTATTCTCTAAATCTGTTATTTTATCAAGACTTCTTTACAAGAGGGTCTCTGATTTGTGGTCTCCAGCCATTGCTCATTTACAGATAAACATGGCATCTTTCTATGAGGCTTCTCTAACTCCAGGTCTTGCCCTTCCAATTGACTTGCATGTTGTTTTCAAATTAACCTTCCCAAACCAGGGTTTTCATTACATCATTCTTCTGCTCCCAAATCTATCTTGGCTCTTTATTGCCTCTCACATAGCATCTACTCTTTTGACAGATGTTGGGGAATTGCCATAATCTGGCCCATCTTATTTATCTAACCTTACTTATATATATATAATGTATATATATATATAATCATTATTATTATTATTATTATTTTTGCAATGGAGTCTCACTCTTGTCACCCAGGTTGGAGTGCAGTGGCCTGATCACGGCTCACTGCAACCTTGTCTCCCAGGTTCAAGCGATTCTCCTGCCTCCCAAGTAGCTGGGATTACAGGTGTACACCACCATGCCTGGCCAAATTTTGTATTTTTATTAGAGACAGGGTTTCACCATGTTGGCCAGGCTGGCCTCAAACTCCTGACTTCAGGTGATCCGCCTGCCTTGGCCTCCCAAAGTGTCGGGATTACAGGCGTGAGCCACCCACCACACCTGGCCATTTTCTATTATTCTTAAACTTGGACTTTGTGTGCTAAACTGGGAAGACCAAAATGTAGACATTCACACAGAATTTGGATGAGCTACACTAAGCACTCAACTTAAGGGGTAAAGTACTTCCTAATCTCAAATCCTCCTCTGCCTCTGTACTGTATATTTTCCTCCAGGTTAACGCCTTAATGATTTATAAGAGCTTCTTCAACAGTTAGCTGTTTCTTGTATAAAAATGGGGGCTTCTGGTGATTTTCTCCATTTTCTGTTTGTAGCTTCATGTTATGATTAAGGTACAGGGAGAGAGTTATAGATGGGATTCTTTGTCTTTCTTCTATTTGCTACTTTAATTTATTTGATGAGTCTATGCTGGGTTTTGGTAAAAATCTTAGAAATAATTATGGCACCTAAATCTAGTCCCTTACCAAAGGGAATCCCAGGGATTCTAACCATTCTAGAGGTGTTAATCCAGGATTGTCTAACTGCAAATTGCATTATTCTATGCAAGGCCTAAATGGAGATGATAAATGTTCTCCTGATAAATGTTTTGACTACTGTGGGTCCTAACAACTTATAATACGTTGCTGTGATGGAGCAGAACTGGGAGGAAGTTGGAACGTGTTCAGAGTTCCATGTATGTTGAAAGTCATCCTCCCCATTTTTATTATGCAGAGAAGCCTAATGAAATATTTTTCTATGTTCTATAAGTCAGATTAAATCATATTGTTTACATTACTATGTACCCCAGGGATGCCAAGGCTACCCAATAGATGTCTAGGGGCTGAGAGTCCTGGTTGCATGAACACACTAGGCCAGTTTCTTCGTTATCTTCTGCAATGCCATGTTCAGGTCCATCTCTGAATCTTTGCCCAGGCCATCCCCATTTTGTAACTCATGTCTTCCTCACAGCCTGATTAATTCTCGCCCCTTCCTGAAGGACAGCCTTGATCCAGTTTTTCTATGAAATCTTCCCAATGATCTCAGGCTCTTTGCTAAACTCTCTTTTCATTTATAGCTAGGACCTAATGGTTCAGTGTTTAGATGTCTCTAAAGATAGACACTGTGATAGTCATTAGTGCTTTTCAACAAGAATTCCTGGTTCTCACTCATTCTCAGGCACATGGTGGGATTTCACTCCACTGCCCACTGGAGTGAGGTGTGGCCTCGTGAATTGCTTTGAGCATGCAATGTGAGTGGAATTGACATGTGTAATTTCTGGGTGGAAGTAGGAAGAGACCGTGTGAGTTACCACACCTCTATTCTCTGGCACTGCAACCAATTGGAGATGCTCTGTTGGCCTAGGTCACTGAGTGACAATGGTGAGTGGAGACCCTTGATGATCTGCATTAGACGTGGAGCACAAACAGGGAAAGAACCTTTGTGTAAGCCACTAAGGTTTTGGGGGTCTTTTGTTACTGCAACATAACATAGCTGCTCATCCTGACGATGCAGGAATTCAATGTTTATACTTTGAAATCCATTGCTGGGAGGCCAAAGAACTAACTTATTTACTTCTTTTGCCGATTTAATTCTTTTTCTTTTTTCTTAGGCACTGACATTTTCTTTGGAGGTATTGGAGTTGCTGATGGATGATTAAACTATATTCCATGATATAAGGAAGGATAAAGTTCTGTATAAACTTTTCCTTAATCTAAAGAAAGGCTCTGAGGGAATCATTGTTCCGAGAAACTCCTTCTTACATTTGTAATAACTAATGTCAGGGATCTTAGTCAAAGGAAAGATCTATGCAAGGAAAAGTTTTGTCCAGATCACTACTTTATAAATTTCTCAAAAGCTTACCAGCAGCCTAGATCACATGGGAAGGAGCCACAAGTATTTATATAGGTGGTTAGAAAACACAGGCTGTTGTCTAATGAGCGGTAATGTTCCTCTGACTTGGACACATTCTTGGTTCCTATTGTCATGGCGCTCCTCCAGGACTCAGCTCCCAGTTGATCAGCTTTCCCTGGATGCCATATGCTTCAGCTCAAGCCCAGGGCCACCAGGGAGCTGCCCTCGGTGCTTCTTGCAGAGGTTTGCAGCTGCATTTGCATTTGGAGAGAATAGGACTTACTGGTGAATTGATAGTTGAATTGCTTAATTTCCCTTTTGGAAAGGCTGGGTAAGGTCTCTTCTTTGGGTAAAGTTATAGACCCCCTGGGTCTCAATTAATGCCCTTGGCTGACATGTTTCCTTGTTGGGTCCCATCCCAGGAGCTACTGGGCTGTTATACCATACATCATTGCTATAAAAGCACTGCAGCCAATAAGGTGTCACAAGGAAATGTAACTGTGGTGGCCACTCCAAATGCTGGGAAACCCTCCACTCCATCATCACTTCCGACAGCTTGGTCCTCTCCAACACCATTTGGGTCTGCTTATTCCCATTGTCACAGCTATGGCCAAGATTCCAGTCTCCTCAAGCCTGGACCACTCATATGACCTTCCTGGCCAGGCTTCCTGTCACCCCTGGGCTCTTTCATCTTCCCTCTCCAGGGCCTCATATGGACTGTTCTTGATAGAACTCCTTAGTTGCAAGTAATGGTTAACTTAGGAAAGTGGGTTATCTAAAACCCAAGAACAGGAAAGTGGCTGGATCTCAGAACTAACTGGAATCCAGAAACTTAGAAGCCACCAAAAAAAATCTCTTCCTCCTTCCTGCTCATCATGCAACATTCTCCTGTGCTCAGCAAGCCAGGGCCTCTGAATCAGCATCATAGGAACCATGAACTCCACATTCAACCACTGCAGCACCAGGAGAGGGGCAGGTCATGGAAAATAGTCATCCATGAAAAGCCTGGAGATGGAGGTGGGGTGGTTGGAAACCCTCCCTAGGAGAATGGGGGTGCTTGACAAACAATAGGTGCCTGTTGCTTAAAGCAGCAAGGAGAATCCTTCAGTGGCAATGCTGGTCATACCTGCTATGCTTTAGTCACTAGCCCTCACCCATCATTCCTGCTTCAGACTCTGAGCCTTTACAGATATCACTTACCATCTTGAAATACTCCTACTCTTTAAGCAGTGATGTTCATCCTGTCCTACAAAATTCACTTTCTGCAGAACGTTTTCAGCCAATCTTGCTGTATCCAGAAATCCCTCCTGTTCTTGCTTGCTAGACTTGGGTGAGTAAATGAATATGTGTATACAAATACAGATGTCGGCTGTGGCCTTGCTCTTCCTGTGGATCTTGGTAGAAGTGATTGAAACCCTCAACTCTCATGGTTTTGGAATCTCCCAGCCCTCCTGAGCTTCCTATGAATCCCCAAGGGGGCTCAGTTTCCTCTCAAACAATCTCTAATCTGCACAGAATTGAATCTGGCACAAAAACCACCTCCTTCGTGTTCTCACAAACTAAACTAAACCAACAAATAGCCATATGCACAAAGTACATGATATGATTTGGATCTGGGTCCCCACACAAATCTCATGTTCAATTATAATCCCCAGTGTTGGAGGTGGGGCCTGATGGAAGAAGATTGGATCATGGGGGCGGAGTTCTCATGAATGGTTTAGCACCATCCCCCCTTGGTACTATATAGTGAGTTAATTCTCATGAGATCTAGTTGTTTAAATGTGTGTGGCACCTTCCCCCCTCTCTCTTCCTCCTGATCCAGCCACGTAAGACGTGCCTGCTTCCCTTTTGTCTTCCACAATGATTGTAAGTTTCCTGAGGCCTCACCGGTCATGCTTCCTGTACAGCCTGTGGAACTGTGAGCCAAGTAAACCTCTTTTCTTTATAAATTATCCAGTCTCAGGTAGTTCTTTATAGCAATGTGAGAGCAGACTAATACAGAAAATTGGTACCAAGGGGTGGGGCATTGCTATAAAGATACTGAAAAATGTGGAAGCAGCTTTGGAACTGGGTAACTGGCAGACGTTGGAACAGTTTGAAGGGCTCAGAAGAAAACAGGAAGATAAGGGAAAGTTTGGAACTTCCTAGAGATTTGTTGAATGGTCGTGACCAAAATGTGGATAGTGATATGGACAATGAAGTCCAGGCTGAGGAGGTCTCAGATGGAGATTAGGAACTTATTGGGAACTGGAGTAAAGGTGACTTTTGCTATGCTTTGGCAAAGAGACTGGCGGCATTGTGCCCCTGCTCTAAGAATCTTTGGATCTTTGGAACTAAAGATCTTTTGGAACTTTGGACCTTTTGGATCTTCGGATCTTTAGAATTAAGGATCTTTTGGATCTTTTGGAACTTTGACCTTGAGAGTGATGATTTAGGGTGTCTGGCAGAAGAAATTTCTAAGCAGCAAAGCATTCAAGATGTTGTCTGGTTGCTTCTAAAAGCCTGGGCTTATATTCACATGGTCGTTGAAAAAGGAACCAATTCTTTATATTCAAAAATGAAGTAGAACATAAAACTTTGGAAAATTTGAAGCCCGGCCATTGGTAGAAAAGAAAAACCCATTTTCAGGGGAGAAATTCAAAGTCTGCAGAAAATTACATTATGCTGCAGAAAATTACTAAAAGAATGGCAAATGCTAATAGCCAAGACAATGGGGAAAAGGCCTTAAAGGCATTTCAGAGACCTCCAAGGCAGCCCCTCTCATCACAGACCTGAAGGCCTAAAAGGAAAGAGTGGTTTCCTGGGCCAGGCTCAGGGCCCCACTGCCCTGCACTGCTGCAGGACACTGGTTCCCACATTCTGGTTGCTCCAGCTCCAGCAATGGCTCAAAGGGGCCCAGGTAGAGCTGAGGTCACTGTTTCAGAGGGTGCAAATCATAAGCCTTGGCAGTTTCCAGGTAGTGTTAAGCTTGTGGGTGCACAGAGTGCAAGAGTTGGGGCTTGGGAGCCTCCACCTGGATTTCAGAGGATGTATGCAAATGCCTAGATGTCCAGGCAGAAGCTTCCTGCAGGGGCAGAGCCCTTATGGAGAACTGCTTTTATGGTAGTGCAAAGGGGAAATGTGGGGTTGTAGTCCCCACATGGAATCCCCACTGGGGCACTGTCTAGTGGAGGTGTGAGAAGAGGGCCACTGTCGTTCAGACCCCAAAATGGTAGATCCACCAGCAGCTTGCACCTTGCACCTGTAAAAGCTGCAGGCATTCAACACCAGTCCTTGGAGAGCATCCACAGGGGCTGAGCCCTGCAGAGCCACGGCGGTGGTGCTGCTCAAGGTTTTGGGAGCCCACTGCTTGTACTAATGTGCCCTGGATGTGAGACATGGAGTCAAAGGAGATTATTTTGGAGCTTTAAGATTTAATGGCTACCCTGCTGGGTTTCAGACTTGTGTGGGGCCTGTAGCCCCTTTCTTTTGGCTCATTTCTCCCTTTTGGAATAAGAGTATTTACCCAATGCCTATACCTCATTGTATCTTGGAAGTAACGAACTGTTTTTTTTATTTTACAGGCTCATAGGTGGAAGAGAATAGCTGTGTCTCAGATGACTTTGGACTGTGGACTTTTGAGTTAATATTGGAATGAGTTAAGGCTTTCAGGGACTGCTGGGAAGGCATGATTGTATTTCGAAATGTGAGAAAGACATGAAATTTGGGAGAGGCCAGGGGCCGAATGATATGGTTTGGATCTGTATCCCCACCCAAATCTCATGTTCAATTGTAATCCCCACTGTTGGAGGTGGGGCCTGGTGGAAGGTGATTAGATCATGGGAAGGATGATCATGAATGGTTTAGCACCATCCTTCCTTGGTACTGTATAGCGAGTGAATTCTTATGAGATCTGGTTGTTTAAAAGTAGGTGGCACCTCCCACCATCTTTCTTTCTCCTACTGTGACCATGTAAGACATGCCTGCTTCTCCTTTACCTTCTGCCATGATTGTAAGTTTCCTGAAGCCTCCCCAGCCATGCTTCCTGTACAGCCTGTGGAACTGTGAGCCAGTTAAACCTCTTTTCTTTATAAATTACTCAGTCTCAGATCGTTCTTTATAGCAATGCAAGAATGGACTAATACAGTATATATGGGCCTCTGGCTTTATAAACGCTGTCAGTGTGAATGGAGGCAGGGGGCCTGCCTCAGCAATGCATATGATTCGAAAGGAAAAGACACTTATTTATCAGGGCCCAGCCCTTCTGCTGTGGAAGTGCTTCCATTCCTCTTCCCTCCCTTCCTCTTCCCTCATCTCTTTCTTTCTCTCAAGCAAAACTTAGAGGTAGCCCCCTTTTTCAGGTTGACTTGCTGCTGTCAGTTTAGAACCAGCATTTGGGAAGAAAGTTGGGTCCAAGCTGCCTTGGTGGTGGTTGGCTGCCTAAGCATAAGACCAGATGAGCTACTTTCTGCTCAGGTACTAACTCCTGATCCAGTATGCTGTGGCCAGGTAGCAGGGATAGACTTCTGTATGACACACAGAGCATGGGGCACTGGTGCTTACAGGGGAGAGGCTGGGAGCTACGCTCTGGGAGCAGGGCTGCTTATAGCAGAGTCATCGACTCCACACACAGCAGGTCAAGTCCAAAGGTGACTCAGGGTGGGGTGGATGGAAAGAAACAGCATGTGGACGTAAATATTAATTTTTGTTTCTTTTCTTACAGCTGACGAGGAAGAATATTCCTGAGCAAGACACAGGGTTTTCACCCTGATAGATGGAATCTGAGCTACCTTCAAACTTTTAAGGGGGGACTATGGTGACCGCCAGGAGAGGAGTCCCAGTTGAGCCATATGGACCAGGGATGGCGGACAGGAAAGTTTGTCAGTGGGGCTGATGCACAGATGGGGTGCACGAGCTCCTCACTGGGGAAATTTTGTGGGGGAAGGATGCCCTCATAGCTCAAACGTTCAGCTCACTCAAGAGTGGGCCAGAGCTAACAGCTATCACTGTACTCACAGCTCCCAGGCCTTACTGATCCAATGGTCTCTTCAGAGATTTATGGCTCAGCTCCCAGGAACAAAGATGATTTTATGTAAATATTTATGAAATTCCTCCCTCTTTCCTTTCCCTCCTGCCTCTCTCTCTCTTCCCTCCCTCCCTCCCTTCCTTTCTTCTTTCCTTCCTTCACTCCTTTTTGCCTGCCTGCCTGCCTTTCTCTTTTTTTCTTTCTTTAGAAAGAGGGATTTATAATTCTTTTCCAAGTAATGTGGGGACCATACCATGAAGAAGACATTCTTCCTTTTGGTCCTCTGACTCCGAATGCAACCTCATTCATTCATTCATTCATTCATTTGGTCAGTATTTGGAGTGCTGTTGATAGGGGTGGGGTCATATAGCCCTCACATCTAGGTAAGTAGCCCCAACACAGCAATAGGTGAAATTTAAAAAAACACAACCTGATTAAATTCCAAAGTGGAAAGTCTATACCAGTGTTTTTTAAACTAATTCCCCATGAAAATCACTCGGGAAACTTTTAAAAAATACACATTCCCAAGGTTCAGGCCAGAATCAGAATCTCTAATTTTTAGCTTTAAAAAAATGTTACAAACTTCGCAGGAAATTTTTATGTAGCTTGCCCAGTACTGCACTGTGAATTGGTGTTCAGAAAATATGGTAGATGAGAGACCACCTCTGTGAAGTTGAGGATGTAGTGATATCTGACTAGCGGAGTTGTCATGCTCACCTAGCATGCTAATGAGGACAGTGTCAGAGGAGAGAGCTGGCCCTAGGCACCAGACAGACACAGAGAGCCATTTACTTACTCTTGCAGATTCCAAAAGTCAAGACTCAAAAATCGCACTTCTTCTCTCAATGCCTGGAAGTGATGATTGAGACCTGTTGTACTTTTATTTGGTGCTAGGGGCTACTGTGGAACTTCAGTCTCCATACTTGCCTGTTAAAGTTCCTTCTGTTTTCCTTTTTACCCAAATTCACTTGTGTAGGGCAATGATACTACAAGAGCAGTGCTCTAACCCCTGAGCTATGGAGCCCCTGCCTGGGCAATGATATAAAAGACTGGCCTCAAAGCTGTGGCAGACTCTCGAAAATTATTGGAAAATAACTCAATAATAACAACACAGTCCTACTTCAAACCCTGTGTTCCCTAAGAGTGCTTTATTCCCTCAAAGTATTTTCAAAGTATCTGTCATTGCTTTGGGGTAGGCTTTTATCACTAGCATCTTCATAGCTGACACTTCATTTCTGGCCTTTTGGCTTTTTTGTATGTTTAGTCATACATGCAGGTCATACCACCATAGCAACTCACTCAAAATAACTCACTTAGGGTGACTGCACAGAGAGTCTCTCTCAGCTATTTTAGTAATAACACAATAGCAACCCACGTTAGTGCAGCTGGGCTCCTTAAATATTCCTTCCTAAGTCATGTAGTACACATTTTAGAAGCCACATTAAAGTACCAAAATTACCCACAAACCGTTTATTGCTACAGTTCACTCCCGTATTTTCTTCTCAACCTGTGGGTAAAGAAAGACATAGATAAATTCATCTGATGCTTTAAAGTGGCAGAGCTATAAATATCTGATTTTTCTCTGTGTTTTGAAAAATTGAATAGTCATAGAAAATTCTTATAACAGTATTTACATAAGTGAGCACTTCCTCTTTCCTTTCTTCCCCCTCGCTCTCCGTATCCTTCCTCCTTCCTCCCCTCCCCCTTTCCTTCCTTCCTTTTTTCCTTCCTTCTTTCCTCTCTTTCTTTACTAAATATCCATATTATGCTAGGTATTGTTTTAGATTCCAAGCCAGACACAAAGGTAAACAAAATATAGTCATTGCTCTCAAATGTCTCACAGCCTTCTGAATCTTTTGAAGAGGAAAACCTGAGAATTATATAAAATTGTTTCATTAACATAAGAGAATCTGAAGATGGCACAGAATGTTTTGGGGGATGCTTCCTTGATTCCTAGTTCCTTTCTCTGTAGATTCTTCCTGTTCAAGGCACAGGCGTAGACAGTCATGAGATGCCTGGGTCAGAAACATAAGACTTTAATACTCACAGCAATAGCAGTAGGCAGAGTATCAGCAGTTGTTCATATCTGTCCTGAGCCCCAATTTCCATAGGGCGTGTGAAGAAGGCCAGATGACACTTATTCACATAGTGACTTGCATTATAGGAGGAGATCCCTGAGCTCAGAGAACCCAAATCTTTCATGATGGGCAGTAAGTTTGCCTGCCCTTTTCTCCAACAGCAGGTATTAATTCTGTTTTTCAAGGCTGGTCACTATACATGGAGAATTCTTTCCCAATCCTCTTGCCTCTTACCTTTCTTTTTGTTTGTTTGTTTCTTTCTTTCTTTCTTTTTCTTTCTTTCCTTCTTTCTTTCTTTCTTCCTTCCTTTCTTTCTTTCTTTTTTTTTTTTTTTTTTTTTGAGACGGAGTCTCACTGTTGCCCAGGCTGTAGTGTAGTGGCGTGATCTTAGCTCACTGCAATCTCTGCCTCCCAGTTCAAGTGATTCCCCTGCCTCAGCCTCCCGAGTAGCTGGGACTACAGGCGCACACCACCACTCCCAGCTAATTTTTTTTGTGTTTTAGTAGAGATGGGGTTTCACCATGTAGGCCAGGATGGTCTCCATCTCCTGACCTCGTGATCCACCTGCCTCGGCCTCCCAAAGTGCTGGGATTACAGGCATGAGACACCACACCCAGCCTCACCTTTCTGTAAGTCCAAATAAAAATAAAAGCAGCTGGCAAATCTAAAGTGAGATATAAGTGGATTTCTCCTCCAGGTTCAGGATCCAGATGTTGTCTCTGCCAGGTGTCCTTTCCCACCTTGCCTTCTGTTCTCCTCTCCCCTCCTCTCCAGCTCCATATCATGCTCTGCCAAAGAATGCAAGCCTTCACGTGAGCTGAATCCATCCTGGGCAATACTATTAGGCCCATTCTAAAGCCGGGGTTGGTAAACTATGTCACAAGCTACATCTAGCAGAAATGATTTTTTAAAATTTAATGGTTGTAAGAAAAGAAGAAGAAGAAGAAGCCGGGCACAGTGGCTCACGCTTGTATTCCCAGCATTTTGGGAGGCCAAGGCGGGCAGATTATTTGTGGTCAGGAGTTCAAGACCACCCTGGCCAACAAGGTGAAACACAGTCTCCACTAAAAATACAAAACTTAGCAGGGTGTGGTGGTGTGTACCTGTAATCCCAGCTACTCAGGAGGCTGAGGCAGGAGAATCACTTGAACCCAGGAGGCAGAGGTTGCAGTGAGCCGAGATCATGCCACTGCACTCCAGCCTGGGTGACAGAGCAAGACTCTGCCAAAAAAAAAAAAAAGGCCAGGCACGGTGGCTGGCTCACACCTGTAATTCCAGCACTTTGGGTGGCCGAGGCGGGCGGATCACGAAGTCAGGAGATTGAGCCATCCTGACTAAGATGGTGAAACCCCGTCTCTACTAAAAATACAAAAAAAAAAAAAAATTAGCCAGGCATGGTGACGGGTGCCTGTAGTCCCAGCTACCCGGGAGGCTGAGGCAGGAAAATAGCGTGAACCCACGAGGTGGAGCTTGCAGTGAGCGGAGATCGCACCACTGCACTCCAACCTGGGCGACAGAGTGAGACTCTGTCTCAAAAAAAAAAAAAGGGAAGAAAACAGAGACACAGAGACAGTCCACAAAGCCTAAAATATTTACTATTTCTCTCTTTCTAAGGAAAGGTTTGCTGAGTCCCATTCTAGAAGTAACTGAGTATAGGGGGAAGTCAATTATAAAAAAAAAAATGGCAGCTACAGCATCCCCAGAATGGATGAGGTGCTGGAGCACTAGGTGAACATGTTACCTTTCTATTTTTTGAGAAGTGCTGTTTCCTTTCCTGACAGAAAGCTGGGATGACCTTCCTCAGGTCTTAGAAGATGCAGAGCTCTCATATTATAAAATGGTACACACTGTCTCTGTCTCTCTGTATCTAAACACACATATTATATATCTAATTTAATTTACAATAACCTATACCTTATATCTATATATTATTGTGAATTAAATTAGAAAAAGTGAATAAGGGAATGAGAATTACAGATCCAATTATAATATGTGATTTACATACATATGGAGCCTGGACTCGTCTTCCTCTCCCAGTCAAGTGTAGCTATGGCGTCAATTAAGATTTAGATGATGTTCTCAGGTCTGGGGAATGAATTGCTGAGTGCCAGGAAAATAATGCTCAAGTGTCTGTGCACGCACGGAGCTAGCTGGACGCCGCTCCGACAGATTTCCTTTGCGTATCGAGCATCTGAGCTCTGCAGAAGTCTCTTCTTAAAGTCATCCTGAAGCCCCTCAGTCCTCAGATTGCTGCAGTATCTTATTGTTTTTAAGCCCCTCTGTTAACTTAAAGATTAAATATTTTTGCTCACACTCTCTAAGTGTCTGAAAATGCTCAAAATATTGAAAGATGGAGAAATATACTTGAGAATCTTTTTATTTACTTTAAAATGAGTGTGGGATAC